>NC_000006.12:969090-1120606 GCF_000001405.40 Homo sapiens
TTAAAACATTTTTCTCTCTCTTTCTTTTCATCTCTTTGTCATTTGCTCTACTTTCGGTACACGTTGCGCTCCTGGTTTTATATTTAAGCTTTCTATTACTTTTTAAGAGAATTCCTTCCTGCAGCTCATCCTTCTGCTCCCACACGCCCACTCCCAGGACTCTGGAGCCCTGAGACTCAGCCTACTGCTCTCTGATCACTATAGCTCTGCAGGACTCATGGCTAGGTCAGCCTCTACAGAGGAAAGTGCTGACTACTTGATCTTTTCTGAGTATTCAAAGCCTCTCTCTGTTCTTATCCTTGTCCTTATTATTTTAGAGAATGAATTTGATTGTTGTTTTTTTTTTTTTTTTGAGATGGAGTCTTGCTCTGTCACCCAGGCTGGAGTGCAGTGGCGCAATCTTGGCTGACTGCAAGCTCCGCCTCCCGGGTTTATACCATTCTCCTGCCTCAGCCTCCCGAGTAGCTGAGACCACAGGCTCCCGCCACCAGCCCAGCTAGTTTTTTTTTTGCATTTTTAGTAGAGATGGGGTTTCACCATGTTAGCCAGGATGGTCTCGATCTCCTGACGTCGTGATCTGCCCGCCTCGGCCTCCCAAAGTGCTGGGATTACAAGCGTGAGCCCCCATGCCCAGCCGAATTTAATTTTATTCCCTTTATTGATGCTATGATACATTATCCAATAAAAAGCCCAAAGGAACAAATATGCAAAGAGTGTGCATCCAGGGCACAACTTCCCCAGCCACGCTGTTCCTCTGTCCACAAGGCAGAGTCTTGGGTGGTCTTTCCGGGATATTCCATCTATATGTAAACAATGTGGCTGTATCCTGATAGCTTTGCTTTTTCAACTTCACTGCTTTCTACAGGGATCAGGGAGATCTCGCCCACATGAGGCATCTCATGTCTGTGTAGCGGCTCAGATTACGAACATATTTTTTGTGTTTCCCTTTGGTTTCAGTCATTTGCCATCGTCATTGTGAACCTCACCAATAAAACAGAAGGTGCTTTTGACTTCTGCCATGTCTGATTGTTCAGCTCCAGGGTGGCTATTGATACAGAGCCTTGCACATTCCACAACCTCAAATATTAGAACTCCTGCCATGGGTCTTGCTTGCCCTTCATTCTTGCTGGTCAGCAGTCATTTTTGGGTCCCCATTAACCTTCCTTCTTGAAATTTCTTTGACTATACTCTTGGTTATCCTGTTCCCTGAGTCCCATGTATTTATTTTTGTTCATTTATTTACCTTATTTGGTGGAGCACGTTTCCATTACCTTAAGAAAGTGTCTGAAAAAATGTTTTTCTTCTACCTTCCTCCTCAATAGATAGTTTGGCTAGGAATAGAATTTTAGATTAAAAAATGGTTTTCCTTTGGAATTTTGAAAGTATTATTTCTTTGCAATCTACCTCCCAATGTTGTTGCTGGGAAAAAAGAAAGCTAAATTCTAATTCCCATCCCTTCCTTGTCACCTGTGGATGCTGTCGCTGCTGCTGTTTTCTTTTCTTTCAGAAAGCTTGTAGGATCTTACTTCATCCTCACCATTTTGAAATGTCAGTGATTTGGGCTGATATGAAACTATTTTCATTGATTGTTTTGGACTTAGTGTCTCCTTCAATCTAGAAACTCATTCTAGGGAATTATTAAAAATCTTACACTGATGTTTTCTCTTCTCTATTTCCTCAATTTCTTTTTGGAAATCAGGACTTTTATTAAGAATGTGAAGTGAGGATGGATGTGAGTGAAAAGTATCCAATAAAACCCCACTACAAGCATATAGCTTTTGGACATTTTTCCATGTATAGGTAAATATTTATTTTCCAGAATGAGATTATAAAAAAGATTGTTTTGTGATTGTCTTTCTTAGCTTGTGAGTATATGCTCAACTTTACTGGGGAATATTTTAATGTTAATATGAACATGTCATTTTCATTAGAAAATTTTCATTATATTCTGGTATATTATCATACAGTGAAAACTTCTAAAGGTGACTTTATTCGATACTTTTTTCCCAGTTAGAAACCTCATGGACAAAACAAGCCAGATAAGTCATAAATGAGGGACAGGTATGAAATAATTTATAAACAATCACACAGTGCTCAAGGGATAAACATGTCCCAAACTAAGTACGGAACAGTTCAATGTAGGGATGGTGATCTACAGAAAGCTCATATTTTCATTTCGAATTGACCTTATATGGAAGTAGGTATTTGAAATTGAAAAATGCAATAATACATATGGCACAGGTTCTGGAAAAGAAGAAGCAAACAAAAACATTTGACTTCTATTTAGGAAAGCATGTTCCAGAAATCATGTCCTCTAAAGTAGTAAGAAATTATGTGTTCATGAGTCCAAATTGGGCTACTTCTGTAGGTGCTAAGTAAATGCTTGTTAAAAGAAATTATTAAAAAAGAAATGTAGATTAGTTTGCTGGGGCTGCTCTAACAAATACCATAGTCTGAGTGGCTTGAACAATGGGAATTTATTTTCTCACCATTCTGGAAGATAGATGTCTGAGACCCAGGTGTGGGCAGGGTTGGTTTCTCCTGAGGTCTCTCTCCTTGGCTTGTGGACAGCATCTTCTCCCTGTGTCCTTGCCTGGTCTTCCCTCTGTGCGTGTCTGTGTCCTCATCTCCTCTTCTGATGAGGACACCAGGCATACGGTATCAGGGTCCACCCCAATGACCTCATTTTAACTTAATTACCTCTTGAAAGGTATTCACATTCTGAAGTACAGGACGTTAAGACTTCAACACAGGAATTTTGAGGGACGCAATTCACCTCATGACACAATGAATGAATTACGAAACCATGAGAAAAGTCAGAGGGGGAAGAAAACTCCTAGAAAGCTATTAACAAACTGAGCATTTCTTATAAAAGTGATTTTGCATTCCATGGTTTGATGAGATGGGGAGATACGTTCAGAAGGGGTGGCTTGTCCCACCTGGGATTCCCTGAACCAAGCAAACCTAAGGAGGACTCTTGGCGACACTTGCCGCACCCCGTGTCTGTGTGTGGAAGACCCGCCCGACTACACAGACCACAAAACCATGCCTCATGAGCCCTCTCAGCTGGTGACGTGTTCAGGCCAGGCAAAATCAATAGAGTTACGTGTCTTGCCCCTGCAAGCTCCATTCTATATTTAGGCAACAGAAAATTGTCTTTGCCCTCACTCGGCCATTGCGTCGTGTGAAACAACAGCTTACTTGAATTTTAGAAACTTGGCTTCTATCAGCTATTGGGATGCATATTTCCTGGTCCCCCACCCCGCCCTCACCAGCCACCACAGACCTGCCACGCCACTGTTCCCAAACATGTCTGTGTCTTGGAATCACGTGGGTGTTTAAAGAGTCTGCTGCCTGCCTCTCCCAGCCCAGACATCCTGCTTCAATTAGTCTGCGGTTGTGGCCCAGCCACGGGGATATTTTTAAAGCTCCCTAGGTGATTCCAATGAATTTGAGAACCCTATCTCAGGCGAGTCTACATGAACTCCCTGCCATCCACTCTATAGCACTTACTTTGTGACCAGCACTGCCCTAGTGATGACTGGTTACTACTGACTGTCCTCCCCACCACACTGTAAGTTCTTTCAGAGCAGGGATGTCAGCTGCATTCTTCACTTTGAGGTACCCAAAGCCCCACAAATTCACTTATATAAGATATGAGGGTGATTAGGATAAACACATTTGTCCCCAGCCTCATCTTTTACAGGTGCAGGAGGTAGATCTAGTCCCAGGTGGCATGACAGACTTCAAAGCTTCAAAGCTTCACCCTGTTACATTCCACTTTTTAAAACATTTGGGGCCAGGCGTGATGACTCATGCCTGTAATCCCAGCACTTTGGGAGGCTGAGGTGGGAGGATAGCTTGAAGCCAGGAGTTCAAGACCAGCCTGGGCAAGATAGCCAGATCCCATCTCTATCAAAAAACTTTAAAAAACTTAGCCAGGTGTGGTGGTCACAGCTACTTGGGTGGCTGAGATGAAAGGACCACTTAAATCCAGGAGTTTGAGGCAGCAGTGAGCTACGATCACGTCATTGCACTCCAGCCTGGGCAACAGAGTAAGACCCCAACTTAAAAAAATAATTAGTTAATAATTTAAAGTTGGCTGACCAGTATTTTGGTATGCTTAGCAGGAGGGAAATGATATGAAATTAAAGAACTTTGAGATCCTTGGATATTTGGTGAAAATCTCAATCATCCTAGACTGTGGAACTCTAATTTGTCAGCTGAATTCTCAGTGTATTTTTGGCATATAATTTTTCAGTATAAATTTATACATACATAAAAAGATGCATTAGAAATTTATATTAGAAACCTTAAGATTTGTCAATTAATATATCTGTGATGAAAGTCTATTAGAAATGAAAATGTAGATTGCAGCTGGGACTATTACAGTTCTTTTTTAATTTTTTAATTTTTAAAATTCTTTAAAATGTTTTAGAGAAGAAATAAATCCACTAAACAATCCACAAAGAAAGCCGTCTGTCTTAAAGTTTCCCATGTTCATAAAACCCCTGAAATGTGTAGTTTTTCTTTGGTAATTTAATTTCTGCTGTCTCTGTCCATCCATTTGTGATTAATCATAGATTTATTTTATCTTATTATTTCAATAGTTTTTGGGGAACAGGTGGTGTTTGGTTACATGGATTTCTTTAGGTGTGATTTCTGAGATTTTGTTGCACTCATCACCCAAGCAGTGTATACTGCACCCTATTTGTAGTCTTTTATCACTCACCTGCCTCCCACCCTTTCTCCAAAGTCCCCAGAGTCCATTATATCATTCTTATGCCTTTGCATCCTCATAGTTTAGCCCCTACTTTTAAGTGAGAACATACAATGTTTGGTTTTCCATTCCTGAGTTAATTCACTTAGAATAATGGTCGCCAAGTCCATCCAGGTTGCTGCGAATGCCATTATTTTGTTCCTTTTCAAGGCTGGATAGTATTCTGTGGTGTATATATATATACATATATATACACTATATATATATACATATATATACACACACCATGTGTGTATATGTATATATATACACACATACCATATATATATATACACATACCATATATATGTGTGTGTGTGTATATATATATATACCATGGTGTGTGTATGTATATATATACACACACATATATATATGGGCATTTATATGTATGTGTATATATATATATATATGGGCATTTATATGTGTGTATATATATAAAAGGTGTGTGTGTATATATATATGGGGTGTGTGTGTGTATATATATATAGATCACGTTTTCTTTATCGACTTGTTGGTTGATGGGCATTTAGGCTGGTTCCACATCTTTGCAATTGCAAATTTTGCTGCTATAAATATGCATGTGCAAGTGTCTTTTTCCTATAATGACTTCTCTTCCTCAGTACTGGGATTGCTGGATCAAATAGTAGTTCTACTTTTAGTTCTTTAAAGAATCTCCACACTGGTTTCCATAGTGGCTGTACTAGTTTACATTCCCATCAGCAGTGTAGAAGTCTTCCCTGTTCACCACATCTATGCTGACATCTATTATTTTTTGATTTTTCAATTATGGCCATTCTTGCAGGAGTAAGGTGGTACTGCATTGTGGTTTTGATTTGCATTTCTCTGATAATTAGTGAGGTTGAGCATTTTTTTCATATGCCTATTGGCCATTTGTGTATCTTCTTTTGAGAATTGTCCATTCATGTCCTTAGCCCACTTTTTGATGGGATTATTTGTTTTTTTCTTCCTGATTTGTTTGAGTTCTTTGTAGATTCTGAATATTAGTCCTTTGTTGAATGCATGATTTGTGAATATTTTCTCCCACTCTGTGTATTGTCTGTTTTCTCTGCTGATTATTTATTTTGCTGTGCAGAAGTTTTTAGTTTAATTAAGTCCCATCTATTTATCTTTGTTTTTGTTGCATTTGTTTTTGAGTTCTTGGTCACGAACTCTTTGCCTAGGCCAATGTCTAGAAGAGTTTTGTTCTTCTGATATTGTGTTCTAGAATGTTTATAGTTTCAGGTCTTGGATTTAAGTCTTTGATCCATCTTGAGTTGATTTTTGCATAAACTGAGAGATGAGGATCCAGTTTCATTCTTCTACATGTAGCTTGCCAATTATTCCAGCACCATTTGTTGAATAGGGTGTCCTTTCCCCACTTTATGTTTTTGTTTGCTTTGTTGAATATCAATTGTCTGTAAGTATTTGGCTTTATTTCTGGGCTCTCTATTTTGTTCCATTGGTCTACACGCCTGTTTTTACACCAGTGCCATGCTGTTTTGGTAACTATAGCCTTGTAGCATAGTTTAAAGTCAGGTAATGTGATGCCTCCAGATTTGTTCTTTTTGCTAAGTATTGCTTTGGCTATGTGGGCTCTGTTTTTGTTGTATATGAATTTTAGGATTGTTTTTTCTAGTTCTGTGAAGAATGATGATAGTATTTTAATGGGAATTGCCTTGAATTTATAGATTGCTTTTGGTGGTATGATCATTTTCACAATATTGATCCTACCCACCCATGAGCAAGGGATGTCTTTCCATTTGTTTGTGTTGTCTATGATTTCTTTCAGCAGTGCTTTGTAGTTTTTCTTGTAGACATCTTTTACCTCTTTGGTTAGGTATATCCCCAAGTATTTTATTTTTTGGAGCTTTGTAAAAGGAGTTCCATAGCTTTTGTAAAAGGGGGTTTGTAGCTTTTGATAAAGGGGTTGAGTTTTTGATTTGGTTCTCAGCTTGGTCACTGTTGGTGTATAGAAGTGCTACTGATTTGTGTACATTGATTTTGTATCCTGAAACTTTACTGAACTCATTTATCAGATCTAGGACCTATTTGGATGAGTCTTTAGGGTTTTCTAGGTATATGATCATATGATCAGCAAACAGCAACAGTTTGACTTCCTATTTATCAATTTGGATGCCCCTTATTTCTTTCTCTTGTCTTATTGCTCTGGCTAGAACTTCAAGCAAGTAGAAAAAAGAACTTCAAAGAAGTTCTAGAATGATTTAGGGAGGATTTCATCTTTCTCTATCTTTTGGAATAGTTTCAGTAGGATTGGTACCAATTCTTCTTTGAATGCCTGATAGAATTCAGCCATGAATCCATCTGGTCCTGGACTTTTTGTGTTTGCAGTTTTTAAAAATTACTGTTTCAATCTTGCCACTTCTTATTGGTCTGTTCAGAGTTTTTGTTTCTTTCTGGCTTAATCTAGCAGGGTTGTATATTTCCAGGAATTTATCCATCTATTCTAGATTTTCTAGTTTGTGCACATAAAGGTGTTCATGGCAGCCTTGAAGGAGCTTTTGTATTTCTGTAGTATTGAATGTAATAGCTCCGATTTCATTTCTAATTGAGCATATTTGGATCATGTCTCTTCTTTTCTTGGTTAATCTCACTAATGATCTATTGATTTTATCTTTTCAAAGAACAAAATTTTGTTTCATTTATCTTTTATTTTTTATGTTTCAATTTCATTTAGTTCTTCCCTGATCTTTGTTATTTCTTTTCTTCTGCTAGATTTGGGTTTGATTTGTTCTTGTTCCTCTAGTTCCTTGAAGTGTGAGCTTAGATTGTCTATTTGTTCTCTGGATTCAGACTTTTTGATGTGGGCATTTAGTGCCATCAACTTTCCTCTTAGTCTCGCTTTTGCTGTATCCCAAAGGTTTTGATTAGTTGTGTCACTATTATCATTCAGTTTAAAGAATTTTTAAATTTCTATCTTGATTTCATTGTTGACTCAAGGATCACTCAAGAGCATGTTATTTAACTTCAATTTATTTGTATAGTTTTGGAGATTCCTTTTGGAGTTAATTTCCAATTTTATTCCACTGTGGTCTGAGAGAGTGCTTGATTAATTTCAATTTTCTTAAATTGATTGAGGCTTGTTTTTTTTTTTTTTTTTTTTTTTTTTGAGACAGGGTCTTGCTCTGTAGCCCAGGCTGGAGTGCAATGGTGCGATCTCGGCTCACTGCAAGCTCCACCTCCCGGGTTCACGCCATTCTCCTGCTTCAGCCTCCCAAGTAGCTGGAACTACAGGTGCCTGCCATCACACCCAGCCAATTTTTTGTATTTTTAGTAGAGACAGGGTTTCACCATGTTAGCCAGGATGGTCTCGATCTGCTGACCTCGTGATCCACCTGCCTCAGCCTCCCAAAGTGCTGGGACTACAGGCATGAGCCACCATGCCCAGTTGAGGCTTGTTTTGTGGCCTATCATATGGTCTATCTTGGAGAATGTTCCAAGTGATGATAAAAAGAATGTATGTTCTGCAGTTGTTGGGTAGAATGTTCTGTAAATATTTGTTAAGTCCATTTGTTTTAGGGTGTAGTTTAAGTCCATTGTTTCTTTGTTGACTTTCTGTCTTGATGACCTGTCTAGAGCTGTCAGTGGAGTGTTGAAGTCCCCCACTATTATTGTGTTGCTATCTCATTTCTTAGGTCTAGTAGAGCTCCAGTGTTAGGTGCATATATATTTAAGATTGTGATATTTTCCTATTGGACTAATCTTTTTATCATTATATAATATCCCTCTTTATCTTTTTTTTTTTAACTGTTGTTGCCTTAAAGTGCTTTTTGTCTGATGTAAGAAGAGCTACTCCTGCTTGCTTTTGGTGTCCATTTGCATGGATTATCTTTTTGCACTCCTTTACCTTAAGTTTATGTGAGTCCCTATGTGTTAGGTGAGCCTCTTGAAGACAGTAGATACTTGGTTGGTGGATTGTTATCCATTCTGCCATTCTGTATCTTTTAAGTGGAGCTCTTAGACCATTTACATTCAATGCTAGTATTGAGATGTGAGGTACTGTTCCATTCATCATGCTAGTTGTTGCCTGAGTACCTTGCTTCTTTTTCATTGTGTTATTATATTATAGGTCCTGTGAGATTTATGTTTTAAGAAGGTTCTATTTTGGTGTATTTTGCAGTTTTGTTTCAAGATTTAGGATTCCTTTTAAGCATTTCTTGTAGTGCTGACTTGTTTGTGGTGAATTCTCTCAGCATTTGTTTGTCTGAAAACCTCTCCTTCATTTATGAAGCTTAGTTTTACTGGATACAAAATTCTTGGCTGATAATTATTTTGTTTAAGGAAGCTAAAGATAGGATCCCAATCCCTTCTGGCTTGCACAGTTTCTGCTGAGAAATCTGCTGTTAATCTGATAGGTTTTCCTTTATAGTTTACCTGATGCTTTTGCCTCACAGCTCTTAATATTCTTTCCTTTGTCTTGACTTTAGATAACCTGATTACTATGTGTCTAGGTGATGATCTTTTTGCGATGAATTTCCTGGGTGTTCTTTGAGCTGCTTGTATTTGTACGTCCAGAATTCTAGCAAGACCAGGGAAATTTTCCTTGATTATTACCTCAAGTAAGTTTTCCAAACTTTTAGATTTCTCTTCTTCCTCAGGAACACCAGTTAAATGTTTGTTCATTTCACATAATCCCAAATTTCTTAGAGGCTTTTTTCATTAAATTTTTTTTCTTTTTCTTTGTCAGATTGGGTTAGTTCAAAAGCCATGTCTGCAAGCTTTGAAGTTCTTTCTTCTACTCCTTTGATTCTATTGTTGAATCTTTTCAGTGTATTTTGCATTTCTCTAAGTGTGTCTTTCATGTCCAGAAGTTATGATTGTCTTTTCCTTATGATATCTATTTCTCTGGATACTTTTTCTTCCATATCTGGTATTGCTTTTTAATTTTCTTTAAGTTGCTTTTCACCTTTCCCTGGTGCTTCCTGGAGTAGCTTAATAATCAACCTTCTGAATTCTTTTCCTGGCAATTTGGAAATTTCTTCTTGGTTTGGGTTCATTGCTGGAGAGCTAATGTGATCTTCTGGGGGTGTTACAGAACCTTGTTTTGTCATATTATCATAATTAGTTTTCTGGTTCCGTTTCAATTGAGTAGACTTTCAGTGGAATGATCTGAAACTCAACGGCTGCTTTTCAGTTTATTTTGTCCCATGGGGTGATCCCTTGATGTGGTGCTCTCCCCCTTCCTCTAGGGACAGGGCTTCCTAAGAGCCAGACTGCAGCAACTGTTATTGTCCTCTGGATCTAGCCATCTAGTGGGGGCTACTGGGCTCCAGGCTGGTGCTGGGGAAGGTCTGCAAAGAGGTAAGGCCAGGAAGGGCTTCCCTTGGCTCAAGCTGGAGATCAGGAGTGCCTACTGCTGATCTTCCCACCGCTTCTTCTACTGCTATATTTTGCTGGGCTCCCTAAATCAATTTCAGCTCTAAGTAAGGTTAAATCTTTCCCCATGATCTGGAATTTCAGGTTCTCCATTGGGGAAGTAAGTTCAGAGGCCAACTTTTCCCCCTCTCACTCTTAGGGAACTCACAGTTTTTCGACTGTCTCACAGTGTTTGCAATGGCAAGCCACTTTTTTCAAAGGCTCTTTGAATTCTTTTGGTTTTCCTGGTATGTTCCTGTGGTGGTTCTTGGAGCAAAAGTTCACAATGTGAGTCTCCAAACACTGTTCTGTTCAACTAAGTGGGAGCTGCACATTAGTTCTGTCTCCTATCCACCATTTTTTCCTACAACCCTATTATGGTGCTTATCTTCAAAATTTCTTATGGGTATAAAAAGAAACAATGCATCTGATTTGCTTAGCACAGTTCCTGCTTTTATGGTAAGAGTAAAAGGAATCCTGACCAAGTTACACATCTAAATGGAATACAATTTTATAGGGGCCTTTTTGAAAACCCTGCCTCCTCTCTGTCCGCACCCACTTCCTCCACTCAAAGGAGTTAGCAGGTGCTTCTGTTTCCTCCCGGAGATGTTATGGATCTCTTTTTGTTACTCTAAATTAACAAGGTATGCACAGGCCTTTGCATTCGATTGTAAACGGGCCTGGTGCTCTTTGGGGATTAGTTCTATTTCTTTTGTGGTCTATTTAAAGGTTCTCCTTTTCTAAAGTTAGTTTTGGCATTTCATATGTTCCAGAAGAATCATCCATTTCAGTTTATTACATTTTCCAAATTTATTTGCATAGAGTTAAGCAAAGTTATTTTATAATTTTCTAAGAAACATTCTATTTATTCTTTAAAAGATAATTCCTAGGACATGTTACACAATGTGACAGATATAAAATTATATGCTCTACAAAAATCAGTCTGCTTCTAACATTGTTCCTCAACCACTTAAGAGTCCTTCATGGGAATCATCACTATAAACAGCTTATTTTGTAAGCTGACAAAAATGTTCAATTCAGCTGGCTTATAATATCCCCATAAGTACAGTTGTAATATCATATTCTATGTCACAGGTTTGAATTCAGAAAATATAGCCACTTCATTGTTCACTCTTAAGTTGCTAATTCACAAAGAAATTGCATGTCCACTTTGCCCTGTAAAAATTCAAGTTATACACCAATCGTTGTATATCTCCCCAGTCCTGTTCCCCAAGGTCACCAGCAACTTGAGGGCTTCTAATTAAAGACTGAAGCTCAGATGGCAATTCAGGGAAATTAAGAACTTTGCTCAACTCTATGCACGGCAGAATTATTTGTTTTTGTTAATCCTTTGGCCAAACAAATGTTTAACAAGGATTTAATATTGAAAAAAAAGAAGAAAAAGCCAGCAGAGAAGAATGAAGCACCAGGTCCCTTCTATGTGCAAAACCCTGTATCGCCCTTCGGATCCTGCATAAGTCACCAGAATGGCTTAGCATTAGTGGGAGTTAGGACATAATATTTCCTGCTTATGAGTACTTGGCACACACTATTATATAATAAATGCATCTGACCAGAGATTCTAAACTGTCAATGTGCAGGAAGATTGAGAGTCAAAGACTTAAAGGGTGATTAGTTACAACAGAATACACATTAATAAATTCAAAGTAAAGTAGAGAAATGGGAGGAGTGCGCAGTGAAGGCTGGGAAGAGAGTGGAAGTGATCTCCTTAGTTTTTGGTCAGTTACCAGAGGCTTTGAATGCTTTTATTCCGGCAGTGTGTTAGTGGAGTTAGTACTGCAGACGATTCCAGGAGTACCTTTCAGACTCTTAGGCTTTTTCTGCCTTTAGTTAATTGTTTTATAACTTGCTTGATTTCTTTTTTTACTGGATGTGTTGTATGACAAATTTGGAAATACATCAAATTGGTTTTTCTCTTTGCTTCTCTAAAATTTTTTTTGAAGGGATCCACTTTTAGAGACAGCATGGAGAAACTTTGCCATTCTGTGCCAGTTCTGGTGATCAGCTTTTTAGTGCTCTTTCTAATGCTTTTCTAGAAAGCTCTCTACAGGCCTCTTCCTATGAGCTTCTTAGTGTCCAAAAATGTCTTTGAACACCCCACTCCTCAGCGCTGGAATGAGAAGTTACAGATGCTCTGTAATCTTCTGGATTTTTTTTTTTTAACACAAAACATGTGTCAAGAGCTTTCCACTTGTCTGTCACATATTAACCTGGCTCTGAAAAATGCATCAGAACCCTTTGAACATCTTGAATCTGGACAGTTACCTGGAGGTCAGCTCTGCAATGGACAAATCTCACAAACTTTGGTGCTCCCTATAGCTCTTTGACACCAAACCAAGTTCTCCAGAGCTCCATATGTGAAGTGCCTATTTTCAAATTTTAGCCATTCATTTTTGAATATATTCATATAATTTAAAAAGTTACAGAAGGATGTAACAACAGAAAATCTCCCTCCCACTCCTCTCCTTCTCAGCCAGTTCCCTTCTATGTGCAAAATCCCATATCACCCTTTGGATCCTGCATAAGTCACCAGAATGGCTTTGTAAGAGGCACTGAAATTCTGGGCTACTGTAGGAACCCAGGTATTCTTACAGCCATAATTCCCTGCTAGGGCTGTACATAGAAACACCTGCACAGCTTTAAGGCAGATACTCAGTTGCCACTGCATATATTAAAACGGGTCTGAGCATGCCATGTAGAGTTGTGGTAGAAAAGCCTTGCGCCATAGTCCCAACATCTCCTGTAAACCCAGAAATCAAATTGGTATAGAGTGTGTGATATGCTGATGGACCATACAAAGGCCGGCCACCAGAGGAGGGTTCTCAGTTCTCAGTATGTCCGGGTAGCTGCCATTTACAGTGACCATCTGGAAGGTGGCTGACCAGGGTCTTTCTTGCCAATCATGCAAACTATCTCAGGACACAAGTTGGAAATCTTTGCACTTCATTGTATACACATCCTACTGTTTTTTTTTTTGTTTGTTTTTGAGACTGAGTCTCGCCCAGGCTGGAGTGCAGTGGCACAGTCTCAGCTCACTGCAAACTCTGCCTCCCAGGTTCAAGCGATTCTCCTGCCTCAGCCCCCTGAGTAGCTGGGATTACAGGCACCTGCCACCATGCCCAGCTAATTTTTGTACTTTTAGTAGAGATGGGATTTCGCCATGTTGGCCAGGCTGGTCTCAAACTCCTGACCCCAGGTGATCCGCCCACCTCCGCCTCCCAAAGTGCTGGGATTACAGGGGTGAGCCACCACGCCTGGCCCAGGTTACTTTTAGTACAAACAGTTATGCCAGACATTTTTAATTTTGTAGCACAAATACTGTGTGCCAGGGACTATCCAAGTATTATTTTTAATCCTTACAACCACCCCATGAGGTTAGGCATTCATATTTTTATTTTAGAAGTGAGGAGACTGAGGCTAGGAGAGAGAAAGTCGCTTGCTCAATTTCATACTGCCTGGAAATGGCAAATTTCAGGGTGAAACCCAAACCCATCTGGTCAAAGTATGGCCCCTGCATGTCACTGGGCTGCTCTGCTCTTTACAAAGAGGCACTGGCTTAAAAGAGGTGCAGTGGAGAAAAACGAAGAAGATTTAAGGCCAAGAAGTAGTCATTCTAACAAAGATGACAGGAACTGGGAACTTTATGTGGAGGCCACAAAATGAAAGATAAGTAAGTAAAATATTTAGTGCCAGAGATGATAACCTGCCAGCCTCAATCTCTTTGAAGACAGAATATGATAAAAAGGGAATAACTTGGGAGGCTGAGGCAGTTGGATCACTTGAGATGAGGAGTTTGAGACCAGCCTGGACAACATGGTAAAACCCTGTCTCTACTGAAAATACAAAAAAATTAGCTGAGCGTTGTGGTGTGTGCCTATAATCCCAGCTGCTCGGGAGGCTGAGGCAAGAGAATCCCTGGAACCCAGGAGGCAGAAGTTGCAGTGAGCTGAGATCAGGCCACTGCACTCCAGCCTGGGCCACCTTCTCAAAAAAGAAAAAAAAAAAAAAAGGAATAACTTTCTGGGGAATTTAGTTAGCTACAAGAAAGAACTTCCTGTGGTTAGGCTGTGGATGCTCTATCCGTTGTCATCATTAAGAACCATGTTTATGGCTGGGCACGGTGGCTCACGCCTGTAATCCCAGCACTTTGGGAGGCTGAGGTGGGCGGATCACGAGATCAGGAGATGGAGACGATCCTGGCTAACACGGTGAAACCCCGTCTCTACTAAAAAAAAAAAAAAAAAAAAATTAGCCGGGCGTGGTGGCGGGCGCCTGTAGTCCCAGGTACTCGGGAGGCTGAGGCAGGAGAATGGCCTGAACCCGGGAGGTGGAGCTTGCAGTGAGCCGAGATCGCGCCACTGCACTCCAGCCTGGGTGACAGAGCAAGACTCCATCTCAAAAAAAAAAAAAAAAAGAACCATGTTTAGTTTAACTTTGGAGAGAAGCTGGGCTATTGGGGGGTGGGGGGAATGGTGGGCTTGGCTGCAAACAGTGTTCATTATTAATCTTACTGAAAAGATGACTTTGGGCAGCATTTGTCATGTCTTGATATTCTCATCTGGAAAAATGAGAGAAATATCCAAGTGGGAAAAAGGATGATTTTGAGGATAGAATAAAATGACACAGGCGAGTGCCTGGTGTGGGATCAGTGTGCATAAAGGCGAGCTCTCTGCCTTCTCATTTTGTAGAAGTTTGCAGGACTTCTTCAGATATCTCTTTCCTTTAAGAGTTAGTTCTAGATTACGTGGAAAGAGAATGAGATTTCTGGCAAAAAAAAATAAATTGTAAAAAGAGAATACAAATAATACAAAAACTGAAGGGAAAATTTAAAAAGTAATCTGTAAAAAGAAGATATAATACATGAAAACTGAAAAGCTAGATGCCACAGACCAGTGACACTGTAGTCCCACCCACAGATGAGGGGACAGAATCCTGCGACTTATTGGAAAGCCCACAGCTGGGCATGTTACCACCTCTCCCACATGGGTTTTGCCTGTGTGCACAGGTGTCTGCACACATCACGACTAGCAGTTTGAGCAGGAGCTTTTGATGTCCTCTTCCGTATCTTGGTATCCCTCTGTCTATGACAGTTTATCTGGCGCTAACCAAGCTACAGTCACCCTAGTAACTTTACTTAATTCAATATTTTGGTGTTTTCTAAACATACAAAACATGTTCTAACAGTGAAGATTCATGATTCAGTGACTCTGCCCCAAAGCTTTAGGCTAACTTTTGCATGTGGCACAAGCTTATGAAGACACAGCTTAGGAGCAGGGTGGGGCTGGCAAGTAAAACCTAATTGGGTATGCTTTATTGAATAGCTTCATTTTGTTTAAAAAGAGGGTTTTAGGCCAGATTATAATGACAGTGATCTATTCAACTTATGTACAAAAGTGTTTCAGGTGGCACTAATAGACTTAAAGCATTTTGCATTCTATATTTAGGGTACTGTTCCTTACAGAGATGCAATCTTAAGCTCAGATTGGGTGCAGCTCTTCTTCTACCGGGATGTGAAGTACAGCAATTCAGTGCTTCAAATATATTGCGGCAGTAACGTTTCTGAGCATTTTGAGTAATTATTATTTCACGGCTGTCATTTCAGTGTTTCTTGGGGTTTTAATTGTTTTACTTTTGGGGTGTTGAATAAACTCAAGCCATGCTCATTGCTGTCCAAAGTTAATCACTGCCAAAATACACCTCAGCATCACATGTCCGCTTGCCCCAGGATGTTGCCAGAAGCATTGAATGTGACCTGCAGACAGAAGTGAGTTAAAAGTTTCCTTTTTTATTTTTTTGTTTTTTACTTTGGGTTCTGGGGTACATGTGCAGAATGTGCAGGTTTGTTACACAGGTATACATGTGCCATGGTGGTTTGTTGCACCCATCAACCCATCATCTAGGTTTTAAACCCCACATGGCATTAGATGTTTGTCCTAATGCTCTCCTCCCCTTGCCCTCAACCCCCTACAGGCCCCCGTGTGTTATGTTCCCCTCCCTGTGTCCATGTGTTCTCATTGTTCAACTCCCACTTATGAGTGAGAACATGTGGTGTTTGGTTTTCTGTTCCTGTGTTAGTTTGCTGAGAATGATGGTTTCCAGCATCATCCATGTCCCTGCAAAGGACATAAACTCAATCTTTTTTATGGCTGCATAGTATTCCATGGTGTGTATGTGCCATATTTTCTTTATCCAATCTATCACTGATGGGCATTTGAGTTGATTCCAAGTCTTTGCAATTGTAAATAGTGCTGCAATAAACATACGTGTGCATGTGTCTTTATAGTAGAATGATTTATAGTCCTTTGGGTATATACCCATTAATGGGATTGCTGGGTTAAATGGTATTTCTGGTTCTAGGTCTTTGAAGAATTGCCACACTGTCTTCCACAATGGTTGAACTAATTTACACTCCCACCAACAGTGTAAAAGTGTTCCTATTTCTCCACATCATCTCCAGTATCTGTTGTTTCCTGACTTTTTAATGATTGCCATTCTAACTGGCATGAGATGGTATCTCATTGTGGTTTTAATTTTCATTCCTCTGATGACCGGTGACGAGGGGCTTTTATTCATGTGTTTTTTGGCCTCATAAATGTCTTCTTTTGAGAAGTCTCTGTTCATATCCTCACCCACTTTTTGAGGGGTTGTTTTTTCTTGTAAATTTGTTTAAGTTCCTTGTAAATTCTGGATATTAGACCTTTGTCAAATGGATAGATTGCAAAAATTTTCTCCCATTCTGTAGATTTCCTGTTCACTCTGATGATAGTTTCTCTTGCTGTGCAGGAGCTCTTTAGTTTAATTAGATCCCATTTGTCAATTTTGGCTTTCGTTGCAAATGTTTTTGGCGTTTTAGTCATGAAGTCTTTGCCCATGCCTGTGTCCTGAATGGTATTGCCTAGGTTTTCTTCTAGGGTTTTTTATGGTTTTAGGTTTTACATTAAAGTCTTTAATCCATCTTGAGTTAATTTTTCTATAAGGTATAAGGAAAGGGTCCAGTTTCTGTTTTCTGCATATGGCTAGCCAGTTTTCCCAGCATCATTTGTTAAATAGGGAATTCTTTCCCCATTGCTGGTTTTTGTCAGGTTTGTTGAAGATCAGATGGTTTATAAATGTGTGGTGTTATTTCTGAGGCCTCTGTTCTGTTCCATTGGTCTACATATCTGTTTTGGCACCAGTACCATGTGGTTTTGGTTACTGTAGCCTTGTAGTATAGTTTGAAGTCAGGTAGGGTGATGCCTCCAGCTTTGTTCTTTTTGCTTAGGATTCTCTTGGCTATATGGGCTCTCTTTTGGTTCCATATGAAATTTAAAGTAGTTTTTTGTAGTTCTGTGAAGAAAGTCAGTAGTAGCTTGATGGGAATAGCATTGAATCTATAAATTACTTTGAGTAGTATGGCCATTTTCACGATATTGATTCTTCCTATCCATGAGCATGAAATTTTTTTCCATTTGTTTGCATCCTCTCTTATTTCCTTGAGCAGTGGTTTGTAGTTCTCCTTGAAGAGATCCTTCATGTCCCTTGTAAGTTGTATTCCTAGGTACTTTATTCTCTTTGTAGCAATTTTGAATGGGAGTTCACTCATGATTTGGCTCTCTGTTTGTCTATTATTGGTGTATAGAAATGCTTGTAATTTTTGCACCTTGATTTTGTATCCTGAACCTTTGCTGAAGTTGCTTATCAGCTTAAGGAGTTTTTGGGCTGAGATGATGGGGTTTTCTAAATATACAATCATGTCATCTGCAAACAGAGACAATTTGACTTCCTCTCTTCCTATCTGAATACCCTTTATTTCTTTCTCTTGCCTGATTGTCCTGGCCAGAACTTCAACTTCTATGTTAAATAGGAGTGGTAAGAGAGGGCATCCTTGTCTTGTGCCAGTTTTCAAAAGGAATGCTTCCAGCTTTTGCCCATTCAGTATGATAATGGCTGTGGGTTTGTCATAAATAGCTCTTATTATCTTGAGATATGTTCCATCAGTATCTAGTTTATAGCGAGTTTTTAGCACGAGGAGGTGTTGAATTTTATCGAAGGCCTTTTCTACATCTATTGAGATAATCATGTGCTTTTGGTCATTGGTTCTGTTTATGTGATAGATTACATTTAGTGATTTGTAAATGTTGAACCAGCCTTGCATCTCAGGGATGAAGCCAACTTGATCGTAGTGGATAAGCTTTTTGATGTGCTGCTGGATTCAGTTTGCCAGTATTTTATTGAGGATTTTCACACTGATGTTCATCAGGGATATTGGCCTGAAATTTTCTTTTTTTGCTGTGTTTCTGCCAGGTTTTGGTATCAGGTTGATGCTGGCCTCATAAAATGAGTTAGGGATGAGTCCCTCTTTTTCTATTGCTTGGAATAGTTTCAGAAGGAATGGTACCAGCTCTTCTTTGTACCTCTGGTAGAATTTGGTTGTGAATTTGTCTGGTCCTGGGCTTTTTTTTTGTTTAGTAGGCTATTAATTACTGCCTTAATTTCAGAACTTGTTATTGGTCTATTCACGGATTCGACTTCTTCCTGGCTTAGTCTTCGGAGGGTGTATGTGTCCAGGAATTTATCAATTTCTTGTAGATTTTCTAGTTTATTTGCACAGAGGTGTTTATAATCTTCTCTGATGGTAGTTTGTATTTCTGTGGGATCAGTGGTGATATCCCCTTTATCATTTTTTATTGTGTCTACTTACACACCTTACCACCTAGCATGAAGTAGAAGCTCAAAGTCTGAGCACTGAATGAATAGAATCAAAACCAGCTGTCAACGTCTCAATCCCCTGCTAATAATCTGTTACATTCCTTTTTCAAGGAATTTACTCATTTATGCAATTTTAATCAGTTCTTCCAAATTTTCCCTATTCCCATCTAAAATGACCTATGTGGATATTTGTGACAGGTTGGGTTCTCCAAAACCAGGCTGCCTCAGGATGGCGGGACACCCAGGGAGGCAGACCTTGAAGGAGTTGGCAGCTGGAGAGTGTGTGCCCTCATTCCCCACACTGGGAAGCAAATCCTTTCCTGAAGGGAGGCCTGGCAGAGCATCTCCACTCCTATTACAGCATTTTACCTACTTTACACCTTCATCCAAGGCAGAAGTGTAACTGTCTCCCAGGAGCTCATAACTTTCCATTTGTTTTTGGTGTCATATATAAGAATCCTTTGCAAAATCTAAGGTAATGAAGACTTATCCCTATGTTTTCTTTTAGTATTTCTATGGTTTTAGCTCTTAAATTTGGGTCGTTAATCCATTTTGAGTCAATTTTTGCACATGGTGTGAGGTACAGGTCCAATTCCATTCTTCTGTATTGGCTATCCAGTTGTTCTATATCATTTTTTGGAAAGACTCTTCTTGCCCTCATTGAATGGTCTTGTGACAGTTGTCAAAAATTTTTTGACTATAGATTTATCGGTTTATTTCTGAACTCTCAATTCTATTGCATTGATCTATATGTCTACCTATGAATTGAGGAACAAAAAAGATATAAGACATATAGAAAACAAAAATCAACGTGACAGAAGTAGCTTCTTTTCTTATCAGTAAATACTTTAAGTGTGAATATACTAAACTCTTCAGTTGATCCTCTTCTGTTTAGTATATTCACACTTAAAGTATTTACTGATAAGAAAAGAAGATACTTCTGTCCTTAGAATAGGCAGAGATTGGGAGAAAGAAAAAAATCCACAAAATCCAACTATATGTTGTCTATAAGTGACTCACTTAAAATTCAAAGACACATATAGGTTGAAAGTGAATGAGTGAAGAAAATAAATTGTATGCAAAAGTAACCAAAAAAGATAAGTCAAGCAAAGGTATACAGCAATTATATAATAAGAAAGCCCCCAAATATGTGAAACAAACATTGACAGAATTGTAGAAAGGAATAGTTAGAGCCTTCAATATCCCACCTTCAGTAATAGATAGAACAAATAGAGGATCAAAAAGAAAACAGATAACTTGAACGATACTATAAACTAACAAAAGTATCAGTAAATTCTACCCAATAATACACATGCTACCCCAAATACACATTCTTCTCAAATGCGCATGGGACCTTCTCTGGAATAGATCATATGTTAACCCACAAAACAAATCTCAATAAATTTTAAGACATTGAAATAATGCAAAGTATCTTCTCTGACCACAATGAAATAAGACCAGTGAACTAGTCTGTTCATGCATTGTTATAAAGAAATACCTCAGACTGCATAATTTGTAAAGAAAAGAGGTTTAATTGACTTATGGTTCTGCAGGCTGTACAAGAAGCACGATGCTGGCATCTGCTTGGCTTCTGGGGAGGCCTCAGGAAACTTAACAATCATGGCAGAAGGCAAGGAGGGAGCAAGGCATCTCACACAGTGGGAGCAGGAGCAAGAAAGAGTGAGAGACAAAGGTTCTGCACACTTTTAAACAGCCAGATCTCATAAGAATTTACTCGTTGTCATAAGAACAGCACTAAGAGAATGGTACTAAACCATTCATGAGAAATTCTCCCCCATGATCCAACCACCCCACACCAGGCCCCACCTCCAACACTGGGGACTAAAATTTGACATGAGATTTGGTGGGGGCACAGGTCCAAGCCATATCAACTAGAACTCAAAAGAAGAAAAAAAATTTTTAAATTTACAAATGTATAGAAATTAAACAACACACTGTTAAATAACTAAGGGGTCAAAGAAGAAATCCCAAAGGAAATTAAGAAAATACTTAAAGGCAAATTAAAACAAAAATATAACAAACCAGAAGTTATAGACTGCTGCAAAAGCAGTGCTTATGAATAAATTTGTAGTTGTGCATGCCTATATTAAAAAGAATAAAGATTTCAAAACAACTTAACACCATAGGAGACTAAATAAATAAGAGTAAACCAAACCAAAAGACAGCAGAAGGAAAAGATAATAGAGTGAAGTGAAATAAAATAGAGAATTGAAAAACAATAGGGAAAATTAATGAAACCAAAAGTTGTTTCTTTGAAAAGATCAACAAAATTGCGAAATCTTTAGCCAGGTTGACTAAGAAAACAGACAGAAGACTCAAATTTCTGAATCAAAAATAAAAGTGGGAACATTACTACTGACTTTACAGAAATTAAAATGATTATAGGAGAATATTATGAACAATTGCATGCTAAAAAAAATTAGATCAAGACGAAGAAATAGAAAACCTGAAATGACCTATGATATGTAAAGATTACATCAGTAAACTAAAGCCTCCCAACAAAAAAGTCCAGATTCACATGGCTTCACTGGTGAATTCTACTCATCACTTAAAGAAGAATTAACACAGCCAGGCATGGTGGTTCACGCCTGTAATCCCAGCATTTTGGGAGGCCAAGACGGGCGGATTATGAGGTCAGGAGATTGAGACCATCCTGGCTAACATGGTGAAACCCCGTCTCTACTAAAACTACAAAAAATTAGCCAGGTGTGGAATCCCCATGTATCAAAGGGGGGTCCTGGTCAGAGGGTAGGAGGTGATTGGTCATGGAGGTGGTTTCCCCCATGCTGTTCTCATGATAGGGAGCTCTTATAAGAGCTGATGGTTTTAAAAGTGTTTGACAGTTCCCCCTTTGCTCTCTCTCTCCTGCTGCCTTATGAAGAAGATGCCTGCTCCCCCTTCACCTTCTTCCATGATTGTAAGTTTCCTGAGCCCTCCTCAGCTACATGGAACTGTGAGTCAGTTATGCTTCTTTTGTTTATAAATTAGCCAGTCTCAAGTAGTATCTTTAGAGTAGTGTGAAAATAAAGTAATACAAAGTTCTAAGAGTAATTAGACAAGAAAAAGAGATTAGAGACATCCAAAATGGAGGAAAAAGTGAAATTACCCTATTAACAGATGACATAATCATATATATATGTATATCCTTTACAATTTACAAAAAACTATGAGAGATAATTAACAAATTTAGCAAAATTGCAGGATACCACATTAACATACAAAAATCAGTGCACTGGACATGAATTATATGTAAAGAAAATTCAGAAAACCATTCAATTTACAATGGCATCCTAAAGAATATAATATCTAGGAAGAAATTCAATCAAGAGAGTGAAAGACTTGTACACTGACATTGTTTGACTACAAAATATTGCTTAAAGAAATTAAAGAAGACATAAGTAAATGGAAAGATATCCCATGTTCATGGATTAGAAAACTTAACATTGTTAAGATGGCAATACTCTCAAAACAACTTACTGATTTGATGCAATCCTTATCAAAATTCTAATGGCCTTCTTTGGAGAAATGGAAATACTGATTCTCAAATTTATAGGGAATTGCAAAGTACCCAGAATAGCCACACACACAGAGACACACACACAAATTCTGAAAGAGAAGACATACACTTCCTAATTCTAAACTTACTACAAATCTACAGTGATTGAAATAGCATAGTATTGGTATGAGGATAAATATATAGACCCATGGAATAGAACTAAGAGCCCAAAAATAAACCCATACATCTAAGGCCAATTGATTTTCAACAAGGACACCAATAAAATTCAAATGGGAAACACAGTTTCTTCAACAAATGATGCTGGAACAGCTGGCTACCAATATGCAAAAGAATGAAGCTGGATGCTTACATCACATCATTTACAATAATTAACTCATAATGAACCAACAACCTAAATGTGAGAGCTAAAACTATAAAACTCTTAGAAGAAAACACAGAAGTAAATCTTCATGATCTTGGATTTTGCAAGGGGTTTTTACACAGGAAGCCAAAAGCACAAGTAGCAAAAGAAAAAAATAGAAAAATTGGGCTCCATCAAAACCAAAAGCTTTGTGCTTTAAAATACATTATAAATAAAGTGAAAAGACAACCTATAGAATGGGAGAACTATTTTGCAAATCATATATTTGATAAGGGTCTGCTAGCCAGGCCATACAAATAACTCTATGACTCAATAACAAAACACAAACACCCAATTAAAAATGGGCAAAAGGCTTGAAGAGACATATCTTCATTCATTCCACATTACTCCAGTGCAGATCACGACCAACTCAGAGACTCAAGGAGAATGCTCCACACATCTCTGGAGTTTGTTATCACTTCTGTCTCCACAGCTTCCTGCGTTCTAGAGTTTAGCTTCAGAAATTCCAATTGCTTAAGGTGGGGAGGGAGGCAGATCCAGTCTGTTACATCATGAGTGAAAAGAAAATCTCTAGATATGGCTTTACTGTACAATGGAATACTGTGCCATCCCTCAAAAAGAACAAGGAAGGTCTTGGTAGGGACTTTGAACAATTGCCAAGGTCTACTGCGAATTGTGAAAAAACAAGTTTCTTAGGAGTCTAGCAAAGAAGGAAAATGGAAATATAATTTCATGTTTTCTTGCACTTACACAGAGATGCCAAGGAAATTTATAAAATAATGACTAAAAGTCGTTGTCTGTAGGTGCACAGGTGGAGAACTGGGTTGTGAGGGAGGGGAAGTAAGACTTTTCACTGTAAGCCATTTGACATTGCTTTGATACTTTGCTGCGTGTGAATGTATTATCAATTCAAAAAACTTTAAAAAATTAATGTTGCTGCTTATCCAAATGGAAAAGAATGAACGTGAATTTCTATATTACACCAGTCTTAAAAATCAATTTCAGATAGAATAAATGACTATAAAAGACAAATTCATAAAATGTTTAGAAGTTTATGTAAGAAAATATCTTTACAAATTTAGAACACAGACATTCATTATACAAGACAAGGATGTACAAATATTAAAGAAAACACTTGATAAATTAGACCACATTAAAATTTAAGAGTTTAATTTTAACTTAAGTAATCAATTTAATTATGTATCTTGATCAAAAAACACAACAAAGGGTGGAAAAAAGACAAAAACTGAAAGAGATATGTTTGTATT
Organism: Homo sapiens; assembly: GCF_000001405.40. NCBI lineage: Eukaryota > Metazoa > Chordata > Mammalia > Primates > Hominidae > Homo > Homo sapiens. The sequence continues at coordinate 993,102 of NC_000006.12, forward strand.
ACATAAAACTAATAAAGAATGTATGCAGAGAAGATATAAAGAACTACAAATTATAATAAAACGGCAAACAGCCCAATAGAAAAAAACAAGTGTGAGCCTTGAGCCGTCACTTAGCAGAGGAGGGAAGATGAATAGCCCATAATCATATGCTTCACCTCAGTGGCACTGGGGCAGGGCAGATGGAGACCATGGTGACATTGCACTTCACCTCCACCAAATTGGCCCATCTTAAATCCAAGCATTAGTGAGGGTATGCAGGAACACCAGCTCTCATCCGCTGTGTGGAAGGGCGTACATCAGTGGAATCCCTTGGAAAAGGTCTGGAATGACTTACCAAACTTGAACATGCCTATATTCTATGCGTAGTGACTCTACTCCTAGACACACACCCGGAGAAACTAGTGCTGTGTGCCAGACCTGAGCAGTAACCCACAGTCACACTGTAACAATTGGGAGTCCACGTGTGCACAGGAGCAGAGCTTGCAGGAAACCCAGTGGCCCCAAACTCTGACCACATCTCAGTGCATACCATGCCTAAATAAGCTACAGGGCAGTCACACAGGGAGTCCTACACAGCAGTGGAGGTGAAGGAAACATGAGGGCACACATCAACATAGGTGAATCGCAGCTGTCATTGAGTAAAACAGCAAGTCACAGAAAAAAATATGGTATAAAATTCCAGTTAAATACGAAAGAAAAAAACACTAAAACCTACACTACGTGTGTATGTGATTATGTATTGACATCTATATTATCTACTTATCATAGATCATTTATGCATCATCTACTTATCTATTTACCCATCACCTATCATCTATCTATCCACCTATCTCCCATCTATATATCTTCCATCATCTATCTATCTATCTATCTATCTATCATCTAATATATATCAACCATCTACCAATCCATCTTCTATGTATGTATGTATGTATGTATGTATGTATCTAACATGTATCAACCATCTGCCAATCCATCTATGTATGTATGTATGTATCTATCTACCTGTCAATCATCTATGTATCTATGTACCCAATTTGTCTATGTATGTATGTATGTATGTATGTATCCATATATCTATCTATCTATCTAACATGTATCAACCATCTACCAATCCATCATCTATATATGTATGTGTGTATGTATGTATGTATGTATATCTATCTATCTATCTGTCTGTCTGTCTGTCTGTCTGTCTGTCTGTCTATCTATCTATCTATCTGATCTATCCTCTAGCAAGCTGGCCATTCAGGATAGCAGTTAACTGGGCACAACACAGCTTCTATCTATAGTGGGGGATATTCTATTTCTTCAGCTGTTTGGAAGATAGATGGGCATTTGTTTCACTTTTATTTGAATGGAACATGGATATTCTATTTACCCTTCTGTGTGAAAAATATATTTCACAAATTTTCTCTGCAGGTAAGGGTTTTTTTCCATTTCCTTATACCACCATTTATTTTATACAAAGATGTTTTAATTAAATATTTACATATCCATAGACATAAAGAGACTGAACATTAAGAAAAAAAAAAAAGATTAGATTGATCTCCAAGCCAGGGGAGCCGTAAACATTTGTAAAGTAACTACGACTATTTTAGCTAAGTAATAATGAATAGTTTTATTTATAAGGCAAGCTTTCCTTTCTGAATTATAAATTGTTTTCACTCAATGTCTTTCAAATTCCTATTCTTAAATGGCTGTTGTAGGTGAGGTTGCCCAGGAAGCTGCTTTGCTATGGTGATGATGGTTCAGGAAATTTATTTGGGAATGCTCTCAGGACCAACACCTGTGGGGAGGGAAAGCGGCAGATGGGCAGAGGGACAGGCTGGGCTTCCACGTGGTCAAAAGAAAAGCCTCAGCCACCCCACAGGAAGATCTCTGGAGTGGGAGCAGCCCTTTAAGGTTGTGCGGAATCGGGGTGAGAGGGGCAGGGCCCTCTTATCACAAGTACATCACTCAACTGAGGCTGCTCCAGGGACCATGGTCAGGGTGGGTCCCTTCAGCAGAGGGCAATGTCTAGAGAGAGGGCAGGCAGGGGATGGTGCTGGCAGCACTCACAGCAGCGGGGCATGAAGCCCTCAGTCCTTCAGATCTCAGGGAGGCCGGGCTGCGTGTCCCAGGACCACACCCCCATGGTAAGAACACGTGTTAGGCACCATGGAGTGTCAAGATGCATAAGGTCTGGTCCTGCCCCCGAGAAGCTCATGCTCTAGTGCCGTGTGGCTGAGGGTGGGCAGAAACTATGAGAGGGGAGGGTCCAGATGGAAGCTCTGGAACTGCAGTGAAGGCTTGGGAGGAGCTGGGAGCCACCTCTCCCTGACCACAAGGAGAATGAAGGCAGGCTGCAGGGACACACCTCAGGGAGGGCATCTGCACGGTTACAGGATTTGCTCCCAAAACTCTGGCAGCCAGGGAGGAGGAGGAGGACGGGTGGTTTTCAGGTATAGGACTGGTGAGGGAAAAAGAGCTGAGGCCAGGAAGGAAGAGTCCCAGGACACACATGATCTCACTGCTGTGCTGTCTGCGACCCCCAGCCCCTGCCTCCTTCCCTCTCCATCCTCAACTGCTTCCTGCCAGCTTCTGGGTGTGGGAATCCAAGAACAGCGCAGAGGGCTGAGTGAGCAGCAGAGCTGGGCATACAGAGGCGTACAGGTGGGAAATTAAATGAGGCCGGCAATCCACCAGCTGACACTGGGTAGGCACATTGTGATAGATCACAGCTGACGGAATATGATTCAGGCATGAAGAATCACACATTATCAGGTAGCGTGACACATGCTATGATATGGTGGACCTGGAAGACATTACGGGAAAGAAACCAGCCACAAAAGACCACATGGTATGGCTGCATTGATATGAAATGTGCAGAAAAGGCAAATCCTTACAGACAGAAAGTAGGTTAGTGGTTGCCAGGCGCTGGGGCCTGGGGAAAGTGGGGAGGTACTGCTTATAGGGACGGGGTTTCTTTTAGGGGTGGTTTAAATGTTCTCAAATTGATTGTGGGGAAGGTTGCACAACTCTGGGAATGTACTAAAAACCACTGAAGTCTACACTTTAAATGGGTGAAGAGTGTGGTATGTGAATTATCTCTCAGTAGAGTTGTTACTAAAAAGAAAGTGAAGCCATGGGCATGAGGACAAGGCCCATAGTGGAGATGCAGACAGGTGGCTGAATAAACTTTTCCCATTTTTCTTTTTCTTTGATCTGGTTCTCCTGGCCTATTGATCTCTCCTTTACACAGGCAGTGCTGGGAGTCTGGTGGTGGGTGCGCATTCCTTTCTGTGCCTATTCATCATATATTCTCCATCAGACACCCCTCAATTACCTCAAAGAAACGTAGGCTCAAAACAAATCTAGGTACAGTAACAGAGGTATCAGAACATTCTTGAAAATGAAACTATAACTTTGAGACACTCCCTAGTCCCCCATTGTGAGCAGGTGCACCCAATCCATTTCATCTTGTGTGCTGTGCTTTGTCATACCGCCTGCTGGAATCTTGCACTCCCTCCCGACGCCGCTCACTCCTGGTCTGCGGCACTAACCCCCTCTGACACTCTGGGCCATTGCTGTCTGCCTCCCTCTGTCAGAATGCCAGGTGTGAGCTGAGAGCAGGTGGCACTGCCTGGCACAGGGCAGCGGCTCAGCAAATTCTTGCTGAGGGGATGAATAAATTCCACATTTCAGTGTCCCTGAAAACAACATTTCCCACGTGCCTGGATGGATGCTGCAGACAAACCAAGGTCACACTGCTATGGCCTGGAGGCCACTCACGTCTGCACAGAAGAAAGAGGAACAGTATCATAAACTCATGCCGGCACTGCCTGTTGGGTGTTTTCTGTGCACAGTAACTTATTATCTGTACCATTAATTTAAAAAAAGCTACTCTACCTACTGGAATATACAATAGGAATCTTGGAAGTTGTATAATGCTGGTCTGGGGATCTCTTTTTTATTCAGCCTACATTTATTGAGCATTTACTATGCTCCAGATGTTCATTATTTCATTTAATCTTCACAACATAATGTGATACATACACTAATATTAACCCCATTTTTGAGATGAGAAAACTGAGACTGCAGGTTAGGAGAATTTTTCTGGATTCCACAGCCAGTAAGGATCAGGGACAGGGTAATCCAGGTCTCTCTGCAGTTTGGAAGGAGGAGATCACACTTCTCATCGTGCAGCTCGCCATCTCCACGTGCCTTTGACTTCCAGGCATCTCAGCACTAAGTCAGGAGCCCCCCATGTTCCCGGGCATCCCACTGCACTGCAGCTCCAGCACATCTGCACAGGGGTCTGTGCCCTCACCTGCAACCTGTCTAGGGCATTGGGAAGCTTCCTCCTATCTTCTCACCTTCTCTTTCTTTCCTACCTGCAGCAGGAGCTTCATAGTTCCTCAGAGTTCAATGGCTCTGGATCCTGCTCCAAGCCAGACCACACCCGTGGCCTTGCCAGAGGAGAGAACCCACCTGCCCCTCCTCTCCCAACAACAACCAGCAGCCACCCCATCAAACCCTCCCACACAACCACTTTCGGTCGGTCCCGTCCTGTGCCAAACACTCATCTTTCCCTTCCAGGTCATCACCAGCACCTCTCCCAGAGTTTAGTTCATGAGTTTGCATGGCCTGGAGTTTCTCTCTGAAGCTTTTGCTGTACATACATACTGAGGAAGAGAGCAGAAAAATTCTGAAACACGTATCAATACATGAGTATTACAATAGTGGTTAAACTGCCAAGATGTTTTCCGTACTGATGAATTAAGTTTCACGCTCACTTTCTTAGGATGCCATGGCAAAGCCCCGCAGACTGGTGAGCCTTAAATAACAGGAATTTATTGTCTCACAGTTCTGGAGTCTGGAAGCCCAAAACCAAGGTATCAGAGTTGGTTCCTTCTGAGGTCTATAAGGGAAGCTCTGTTCCAAATAGATGGCCGTCTCCTTCCTGTGTCTCTTCACACAACCTTCTCTCTATGCACATCTGTCTCTGTTCAAATTTAACCTTCTAATAAAGACATCAGTTATATTGGATTAGAGCCCACTTGAATGACGTGATTTTAACTTGATTACTTCTTTAAGATCCTATTCCTCCAAATAAGGTCACATATTAAGGGACTTCAACTACCTTTTCCAGAGAACACAATTCGGTCCATAAAATGTATCAATAATGAGCTCCTTTCATATTTGGCTGCATCATGCTTCATTTAGAATTGGCTTGGAGTACATTAAATAGATGCATTTCATAAAGCCCATCACATACAGACCTACACAGAATCTCCAGTCCTGCCACACCTCTCGCTGGCTTGTCCTTGTGTCTGCCGGCTCAGAATCTGACCACATAAATCCGAGCCACTGGCTCACTAAAGGCCACCTACAAAGGAGACAGATGTCAAGTTAGAATTACCAGATCTATAAATTGGAAATGAGAGTTTTATTTCTTATAGGGGTTTACGACCTGCAGACTGGCCATCCTGCGAGCTGGGAAGTGTAGCCTCCAGCAGAGACTGAAGGCACACACTTCAAGTGGGGAAAGGTGAGGCAGAAATGGATGCTGAACAGGTTGGCTAAGTAAACATATTCAGCAGGTTATAGGAGGAGGTACGGACGGTCATGAAGGTGGGCGTGCACATGCATAGTAAGCTAACGTGCGTGTCACATGGGCATCCTCGCTTTGGGGTGGAGATCAAACATTTAAATGCATTGCAATTAGGACCTACACATCAAAAGGTGAAGCAAACACATGAAGGCACATGAAGGAGAAAGTGACTGAAATCAGCCTCTTGTCCAGTCAAAGCTTTAGTTCTGGCTGGTGGAACAGGGAGTCAACTAGTCAGCGTCCGGCAGCAGATGAGCTGCAATTGTTTCGATATTGCTTATCTCGTGGCCAGTGCTGTTTAGCTGCTAGAGAAGAAGAAGAACCTTGTGGCAGTCAGAACAGAGCTTACTGTTTAAGTGTAGAGGCGTGTGCATGGCCTTGGATCTTATTTATAATTTGGTATCTTATTGCCACAGAGTCCACTCCATCAGTCTTAGGATACTCTATTTTCACATAGGTTACATATGGATGAGTAAAACATCGTAACTTTGGCTCTTTCTGGAACAAAAATGGGCTATGCCATGTAGATGTCAATGATTGTCTCTATGTCCAGGCAGCAAATGCTTGTAAAAACGATGTCAGCATCCACGAACGTCAGGGCTGAGTGGAAGTCATGCAGTTCAACAGATCTGAAAAATTCGTGATGGAAGAGTCACAATTTTCCCATTGTGAGGCTTTCTCAGTTTCTTAATTTATATATTTCTTCAAGGGGAAACCTGAGAGGAGCTTTTGGTGTACCCTTTCATGAAGCCCTAACCCTAAGCTGGCCACAGAGAAACATGAACTCTTAGGATCCAGGCATGGCCTGTGCCTGTGCTTCCCATTCCTGGTACCCAGCCGAGTTGGAAATATTTCTTAGCAAGGCTTTTTGAAGTCTGTTCATAGTAAAGCCGAAATGAATGTCTTTTGTGCTGTGCTTTCACACTGTCTTCTGGGAAGCTGTCCACTGACAACGAGATTGCTTTGGAGAAATGATCAAAGGAACCATCTCTAACGGTATGGTCTTCATTTCTGAGCAGCGATAATAGGCGTGCCAGCCCGCACGACTGTAGGAAGCTACAAATAATGCTGTGTTCCTTTGATCACCGGCTCTTCATTCTGATCTTATTTACTTTTCAGAAACAAACACTTGACAATGATGGTAGGGATTCTAAACCGCTTATGTGGGTAGAAAATCTGTATTTTAAAGTGGTAGTTAAGACTGAATGTGTCTATATATTTGCCCCTGAGCTGAACTGTTCCATTTTTTAAAACCATGTAAATGTCTGCAGAGCTGCACCCACAAAAACATTGAAGTCTAGAGGGAAGACACTGAAAGCCAACTTCCCCTGGCAGGGTTTGTGACAGCCCAGTGACTCCCAGGGGCCATCATCATTGCTTTACCTGTTAGTTCCATGCTTGAGATAGAAATTGCCCTCCGAACTCTGACCTTTTGTTGCTTTTACAAATTCTGATTGTGAAGTTGGGACAAAGGACGTTCAAAAGCCCATGGTGAATTTATATGCCTTCAGAACAGGGAACAGGGGGCCCGTTCTAATATGGTAAGCTTGTAAAACACAAAGTTTCATACATAAGATATATGAGGATATATAATTATATGGTCTCATGATTGGTCCTATAATCTTCTGTGATACTGTATTTCTACTTTACAATAATTTTTCATCAATCACTACTCCAAATAAGTCATTATAAAACTTGACAAACTTTGTCTCTATCTTACGTTAGAGATGGGGCATATATTAAATTCGTCATTCACCTGCCCTCTGAGTACCCTGGGAATCTTGTTCACATCCATCTAGAAAACAAACAAACAAACAAACAAACAAACAAAAAAACACAAAAAACCTGCTAAAACAGCTGTATGGTGTTTTAACTTACCTTACATCATCCCCACCTTCCATTTAGGAAATGTTTTATTTTATTGCAAGTCTTTTTCTGTTGCATTGTATCCGTGCTATTGTGAGGTAAAAAATGACTACATCACTGCTCTGTGAGTTTGACGTGGCTAGGTGATTTGTGGGACCACCCTAGACAAACAGCTGACCCCCTACAGGTGAGGTGCCTTCTCTGAACCACAGAGGTTCTCTCTTGGGTCTCACTTCTGTCTCCCAAGAGCTGTGTGAACAGACAAAGCCCCAAACTGGTATTCCCACAGCCTCCTGTCGACCTCAGGCCATTTGCTCTCTGCACTGCAGCCACCTCTGTGTCTTGGACCTTCTATCTTGACAAAACAATCGACAGGTGTCCTCAACACCAAATCTTATCCGATCTGGTCCCAGTCTATCAGCAGTTTTATCAGGGAAGGAATTCCAGAATAATTCTTATAAACAAAAAAACACCAACTGCCTTCTCACACAATAGACAAACATAAACCATCATGTTAGGGTTGGAAACAGGGAAGGTCAAATATGGGAAAGGGGATACTCTCTGTAGGTATCTGCAGAGCTGAGGACTGTGTCTCACCTGGAAGGCAGGGACTGCATTGAATGGGATCTACATCAGGCTAGTGTCACTTAGGATTACTTCATGTGGCCATTCTGATTCTTTGTTGCACTGAAATTTGTTCATGCAAAAAAGAAAAAAAAAACTGTTCAAAATAACCAGGCTACTGGAGGTTTGAGATGCCTTTTGTCCAATGCAGACACTGTTTCATTTACTGTGCTGGGAACTATCTGTAGGGCCTATGCTCATGGCAGGGAGAAAGCTTTGGTAAGGACCACCATGCTTTTCCCAAGATTCTGGTGTTCAGGGATCACTTGAAATTTTGAAAACACACATTATTTTTTCTGAGGTCAAAATTAGTGATGTCAAAACCCTCTGAGGTGGGCTCTACTGCTGTTTTCAAAAGATGAGAAAGGAGAAATCTTGTCTTCAAAAAGGTTCCCAGTCTAATCCCGTAGACCAATGATGCTGGCAGATGCTTCTGAGAGTCAGAATGGTTGGTTGGAGCAGCTCCCCCCTCACACGGAACCTTTTGATGTTCACCCAACCCCACTAACCCTGCCATGGAATGCACCAAAATAAACTCCACCACGAAACCCTAACAAGGCGTGATTGGGCTTGGAGACCAGAACACTGGGCCAAGAATCTACAGAGCCAGCTGTGGGACTCATCATGCGTGAGTTACCGAATACGCCGTGTCTTAGCTCAGCCATCTGTGGAAGAGACTCATGCTTTCACTCTGGCCGCTAACCTCAAATCACTTTCAGAACAGTACGGTTCTGCCCCATGTTGATGTTAACTTAAGTTCAACTCCTGAGAATTACATGAAACAATGGCTCTGTGGGCTGCAAATCATCATTATTTCCAAGTTTACAACAAACTTTGCCTCACAGAATCCACATTAGTGACATCTCTCTAAAATATAAGAAAATGTGGTGAACATCTCCCCTCTGCCCCAGGCATGGTTTCCACCGTGGAAGTAAATACATGCTCTGAGTCAAAATAAAATAAGGCACAAGATACAAAACAAATTGGCAGTCTCACTTCTTTTTTCAATGCGCCTTAGTTTTATGAAAAATTAGGCTGCTACATTTATGCGATTGTGTGTTGACTTGCACATTCTTTTGGGTAAGGTTGTGAGAAGTAGATGAAAGACCAGGAAGAGCAAGCTTTTGAGCAAAACTGAGCTGAGACATTCTAGGACCACACACTACACCCAGCACAAGATGCTCCGTGATGCCAAGCGGCATTATGAAGAAAAGAAAGGCTTTATTTAACTTCGGCACCTTGTATATTGAGCGAAGAACATGAAGAAGGGGAGACCCAAAGATGGGGAAGGATACATTCAGGGGGAAAAATCGGGTAACTAGAAGAGCAGCCAACTCTCTAGGCTGGGAAATTCCTGCCCCAGCTTTAAAGCCTGTTTCCCCCTTCCCCAGAGCCAGAGGGGGCCCCCAAACTCACCCCTTACTCCTCACCTGGAGCTTTTGCTTAAAGAATAGATTTTCTTTAAAACAATGCCTCCATGCCAAAAGGGGCAACTAGGAAATTAGAAGCCCCATATGCTATGTATTTACTTTTTTAGAGCATACTCTATCTTGCATACTTTTCTCTTTTACCAGCCAAGACTAACCTACAAAGCACCTTATATTTTTCAAGAGAAAAATAATGTTTTTTAGGAAATTGACTAGGCACAAATTATATCAAAAGCAGTATTTGAGGTGCTATAATTTTTGCCTAGATTTTTTCTTTTTAAAAAACTTTTTAATGTTTTATATTTCAGACTTATGGCTTTTCACTTAGGGTGAAAAATCTCTGTTCATCCTTCATTCAGCTTTCTCAAATATTAACACCCATAACCACAGCCATGATCAAAGTCAGCAAGTTAACAATGATCACACTATTAACTAATCTGTAGACTTCGTTCAAACGTCTCTCTCCCCCACCTCCCTCTCTCTCCCTTTCTCTCTCTGCCTCTTCCTCTCCCTCCCTGTCTTTCTCCCTATCTCTTCCTCTCTCCCTCCCCGCCATCCTTCCCTGTCTTCTCTCCCCCTCTCCCTCCCTCTCTCTCGTTCTGTCTCCCTTCTCGCTCCGTCTCTCCCTGTCTCCCCTCCGTCTCTCTCTCTCTCTCCTCCTCCGCGTTGGTTTTACATGGTCCTGTTGCAGACCTTCTTCCTCAAGAAAGTGAAGGGAACGTGGAGGGGCTGGACTGACTCTCTTCGCTAGTTCTGGCTTCGAAGACTCATAGAAGGACCCTGATGCGTAGATGAACAATGACCTCAGACAAGGTCAACCAGCTCCCGCCAAAGAACAGAGTACCGGGCCCTGGGACCCCTGCACAGGTACGGGCCAGAAAACCAGCGAACCTTCTTCACCTCACAGCAGCTTCCCTGTCAGCGTGGCCTCCCTTCCGGCTCCACAATGGCGGGCCCGGAACAGACCTCCTGACTCCTCCCACTCCGTATCTACTTATCAGGAAGTCGGACCAGCTCTACCCCTAAAACCCACCTCTCTCCACATCCACACGAGCCCGCCACCTCGTCTAGGCCACAGCCTTGCCTGGACTGAGGCAGGGACCTCCTTAGGAGCCTTTCCGGGTTCACTCTTGAGCCGCTACATCCGTTCCCTGACGCAGCTGCCAAGGTGACTTCTGAAGCAAAGCATCTCATCAAAGGGCTTTGCTTTGTGCTGGCCGGAAAGTCCAGCTCCTCCCTGAGGACGACAGACCCCCCGGCGATCAGGACCCTGGCCACTTCTCAGACTTTAGCGCATCCACTCCCAGCACCCCGCAAGACCCTCGCTCGCCCGCCTGCTCACCCACTAAGTCCTGCGGGCTCCCAGCACCCCGCAAGACCCTCGCTCGCCCGCCTGCTCCCGGCACCCCGCAAGACCCTCACTCGCCCGCCTGCTCACCCACTAAGTCCTGCGGAGCTCCTGCTGCTCTTTGCCCTTCTGGCTCCCCTGCCAGGCCCCTCCTGGGTCTTCCTCACTCCCACCCCCACCCCATGTGCAGCCTGTCACTGTTTCCACAGCCCCCTCTGCAGGTATTCACAGCACTATCTCTAATGGGGGTTACCTTGTGCAGTTAATTGTTTGCTTGTTTTCGGTCTTACCACGACTTTAAGATTTGCAATGAAAAAATACAGGAAGAAAGAAAAAGAGAATAGCTAAGGAAGAGAAAGTGAGCCAGGGAGGCTCCAGGTAGGGACTTTATTTCAGAGTTGATTTTAGACATTTAGAATATCTGTGTAACAGTATTTGAAATTCTTTCACACGTTTAAAATAAATTTGAATTAATCAGAAGAAAAATTGGTTCCGTAAGAAAGTACTTCTGCTAGAAATAGCTCTACAGTTTGTAATTCTTATTTGTATTGAAAAACAGAACGAGTTAACTCTTTATATTAAATAGTCATTGTTCAGAAAGGAAAAATGAATTGAAAAGAGCTTTAATAACTTGATTTGCAAATTTGGGAAGAGGGGTGAGTTAGTGGTATCATGTCTCGTAGGGAGGAATTTTATTTATTTTATTTTATTTTTTCAAAACGGAGTCTTGCTCTGTCGCCCAGGCTGGGGTGCAGTGGCATGATCTTGGCTCACTGTAACCTCTGCCTCCTAGGTTCAAGCGATTCTCCTCCCTCAGCCTCCCAAGTAGCTGGGATTACAGGCGTTCGCCACCACGCCCCACTAATTTTAGTATTTTCAGTAGAGATGAGGTTTCGCCATGTTGGCCAGGCTGGAGGAATTTTATTTTAAAAGGTCATTTTAGAAAATAAAAAGCAAAACAAAATTAAAAACTCTGCGTTAGGAACTTCTGTCCTATAAGATACTCATTTTAAATGCAAAAATGTTCATGATGACTAATATCTAACCTATGAAATACTTTCTCACCTCCACAACTTTCATTTCTCTCTCTGTTTTTTCACACACACAGACACATACACACACAGAGACACACACACACACACACACACCCCAGGCACCCCTTGATAAAGATATAAGTGGCCCCTGTTGAGAGATGTGTGCTTCGGCCAAACGCCCAGGTCTCAGTCAGTAAGGAGGTAGCAGGCCCTGGGAACCACACTGAACTCAGGTTTCCTTGCTTGCAGAAGTTATTCAGTGCTTTTCTCCTTCCAGGAAACTGAAGTAACAAATGATTTTTCTGATTTGGGGATGCATGAACATATTTTGTCAAAAAGTGGCCGTATAAGATGGGGATTTTCTTTCCTACGAGATAAAAGCAATTCACATACACACAGACCTGATTCTGAGATGCGTCATCCTTTGAACGTGAATTCCTGTGGTTTTCGGAGTTCGTCCTGGAGAAGGGCTAGGTTGATCTGTCTCCTCAGAGCAGACTGCACAGCCTTCCCGAAGAAAAACATGCAGGGCCTAAAATATGAAAATATGGAAAAATTAAGGTTAAAGTCCACTGGACAGCAAGAGTTCCCCTGTTCCCGGGTATTTTCAAGACTCTCTTAAATGAAGGATTTGGATGTTGGAGTTCCTTCTCTTGCATCTTCCTTCCTTTGTTAAACATGTGCCAGACCCACTCCAGGGAACCAGCTCCCTAGAGAATGGCTGACTCCAGGGCTGAGGCAGGAAAAGTACAGGATCAGCCCCAAAGTAAGGAACTGCTCAAAACATGATGGGGACAAAAGGAAACAAGGACTAGTTTGAAGGAGCTGCCACTGGGCACACATGAGACAAATTGAGCTTGAAAATGGCTCATGAAGGTAGTGGGTGACAACTCACTGGACAAAGAAACCAACCTGTGAGTACAGAATGCTGGCAGAAAACAAGCAAGTGAAGGGGTGGGATCCATGAGAAAGCCTCTCCTTATAGAAGGCCAACTGATAAAGGAGTCAGAAAATGACTGCTTTGAAACCACCATAATAATTGTTGGCCCGGGCAAAGATCGTCGCTGAATATTAATATCATTCAGTGGAATTGTGGGGTGATATTTACAGTTGCCTAGTGCCTGCTCTTAAATTCCTTCCTATCCAAGATAGAAGGTGCCTTTCCAGAAGATAACTCTGGATGACACCACCTTAACCAAGTGATACCCAAACTGAGACGTCAGCAAAACAAAAAGACCCTGAGCACTTCAGAAACGAACTTTCAGCCTCATGGAACAAAGAAAGGCTAAGGACTGCTCCTGATTAAGGAAGTCTAAGGGGACATGACACCTAAATGCGACGCATCACCCTAGATTGGATTTTGTGTTGAGGGGAAAAAGTTGCTTTTAAGGCAATTTTGTAACCATCAACAAAATTTGAATATTCACCACATATTAGATAATAGCATTGTGTCAATGTTAAGTTTTCTAAATTTGATAATTGCACTGTAAATGTGTAGAATATAGAGATGGAGAGAGTTGGCATGGCTAAGTATCAATGGTGGGAGAATAGAGGGGAAGAGCATATAATCATTAACTTGTAATATTCTTGCAACTTTGCTGTAGGTTCTGAATGTTTTCAAAATAAAAAGTTTAATTAAAAATCTTAAGAGAAGTTGAATGAAGAATAATTTCTTTCTGAAATTACGACTATTTCACAGTAATATGTGCTTTTGTAACAATATTTGAAAGGTGATTGAAAAAATGAAAGGTATCTGTTCTTTTGCCACACATACTTAACATTGCAAACATTTAGAATGAATTTAGAAATAAATATATTTATTTGGGATCCCTTGAGGGCAGGAGTTCAAGGCCAGCCTGGGCAACATAGTGAGACACTGTCTCTACTACAAAATAAATTTAAAAATTAGCCAGGCATGGTAGCATGCCCATAGTCCCAGCTACTCAGGAAGCTGAGGCAGGAGGATCACTTGAGCCCGGGAGTTTGAGGCTGCAGTGAGCTGTGACTGTGCCACTGCACTCCAGCCTGGGCGACAGAGCAGCACTCTCCGGAGGAGAATGGTGTGCCAGGTACGTGCCAGGTACCTGTTCGCGGGAGGGTTTCAACCCCTCGGCTCTCCTCCTGTCTGACTCTTCTGTGATCTTCCAAGCACTCTTTCTTGCACATCAGGTGCAAATACCCAGTATGCCTACTCCCAGAGCATGCTGGAGTGTCTTCTGGGAAGCGCAGAAGCAAAGTCAAGTTTGTTGTACAAGCACAGGCCCAGCGTGGCTGTGGCTGTTCATCATTCTCACAGGATAGCGGGATGTTTTAAACTCAGCTGGTGAAGTGAACTCTGAGAATGGTCCTAAGCCATTCACAGCTACCTGTTTGAAGATGGTGAATCAAGGCCAAGTCAAGTGAGATGGGGTGCAGCCTGACAGGCTCCCCCAGCTGGAGGGTGGCTCACAGCAGGGTTCAGGGTCCCCATGTGCATGGCCTGCTCCTCAAAAAGCAATGAAATGCTACGTTAGGGCCATTGTTCAGACTTGAGGCCCCAGAGTTATGCTTCCCTGACTAGAAGAGACGAAAACCTTGCCCTGACGGATGGAGGAATGAAACTGTTGATTATCGTCAGTTGTTTACTTGGTGCCAGAGGAGACATAGGTCAGTTTCATCTATGTTATCTAACAACAGATGTATATAAGAAAAAAGCAGAGAGGGAAGACAGCAATGCAGGCAGTTTGCACACTTGGGATCAGCTTATTTGCTGTCAGCTGGCAAGGAGATCCACGAGGAGCAGGTCAGCTGGGATTCCAGCAGAAGTGCCTCCAGGTGTTGATGGACTTTGCAGAAACCTTGCAATGAGCTTTGGCACACACGTGTCAAGCCATCCCTGTGTCTGCCAGTGTCTGGTCAGCAACTGCACTTCAGTGAGGCCGTCTCTGCCCATTTCCCCCATCGTGCTTTCCAACTATGAGCCTGAGGCTAATGGCAAGACTCCATCCTAGGGACAGGGAGAGTGCCATCGCTGTTCTTCCTAGGAGGGTAAGGGCCTGTGCTCAGGAGTGAGTCACACCAGGAGATGTGACTCTAATATCATCTGCCCCATCCTCAACTGTCAGTGCTAGACCAAAGCGCTCTTTGTGGATCTTAAAAGAACCATATTTGCTCTAAGACCAGGCTGTCTGAAGCCAGAGTGCTATCTGGGCTCAGGGCTGGGAAGAAGGGTTTCTTTAGTCCCAAGTGGGCAGAACACAGGCTCACACTGAAGAGCAAACACTATAGTAGAGACCAGGATGCCGACATTTGGAGCTGGGCAACACGGGGCAGTTGAAGCCTTGGCCACCAGAACAGACTGCCTGGATGCAGAACTTCCTTATGGCAACAGCACCAGGAGTTGAAGAGTTTCTCGCCCACCGAGGAAGGCTCAGGAGCTGCCAGTGTACTGAGGAGGAGAGGGAACTGGGAGACCAGACTCTGCAGCTCCCCCAGGTAGGTTAATGGAAATGCTCCTAGCATGCACACCCTTAAATAGCCTTCAGGTCCAGAAGAGCCTTCTGGAGTCAGGGTTGTTAGCTGATTTGACCTGAGATAATGGCTTATTTGACCTGAGATTATTCTAGAAGGCATTTTTCTCACTTAAGGATTGTGGACTATTAGATTACACCATATTAAGCAAATCCTGCTACTTTTGGACAAGGAAATATGCTCATACTGTAGCCACATCAGTCTGAGTTACAAATATGCTAGATTTGTCAGCCTGGCCACAAACCATCTCAGAAACACAAAACTTTAGAATTGGAAAGGATCCTAAGGATTATTTAATCCAAGTGCATGTTCTACAGATAAGGTGGCTGAGGCCAAGAGAAGCACAGGAGTGTCATTCCCAAGTGATTCTATGGATTGAAAAGCTGAAACCAAAGCTAGATTCCAGGTCTTCTGATTTGCAGGTGAATTATCTATCAGCATCATGTGGTTACCTCCCTATTTACTGCTAAATAATTGTCTCTCAATAAGTGAGTGTATGTGTGATATTCATGCATTTTAGCCTCTTTATAATTATTGTGGTATACATATACTACATATATATATGTAGTATATGTGTATATATATATACACACACACACACACACACACTATAAAATTTACCAGTTTAACAATTTTAAGTGCACAGTTCAGCGGCTTTAAGTACATTTGCATGTGGTACAGCCATCACCACCATCCAACTCCAGACTTCTCTTCATCTTTCAAAACTGAAACTCCCTCCCCATCAAACACTCACTCCCCTTTCCTCTGCCCCAGCTCCTGGCAACCCCTGTTTGACTTTCTGTCTCTATGAGTTCAATTGCTCTAGGAACCTCAGACAAGTAGAATCACACAGTATTTGTCCTTTTGTGACTGGCCTATTTCACTCAGCATAATGTCCTAAATGTTCATCCACATTGTAGCATGTGTCAGAATTTCCTTTCTTTTTAAAGCCAAATCACATTCCATTGTGGGAACACACACATTTTGTTATCTATTGATCTGTCTGTATGCATTTGGGCTGTTTCCACCTTTGGCTATTGTGAATAACGCTGCTATGAACACGGGTGTACGAACACCTGTTAAGATTCCCTGCTTTATTTTCAGCGTACACCCTGAAATGATATAGCGCGATCATATGGCAATTCTATTTTTAATTTTTTGAGGAAGAGGCACAGCACCTGCACCATTTTACATTCCTACTAACACTGTACAAGGGTTCCTATTTCTCCACATCCTCACCAGCATTTGTTACTTTCTGTTTTCTGTGTTTGTTTTGTGATAGTTGCCATCCTCATGGCTGTGTGTCTCATTGTGGTACTGATTTGCATTTCCCTAATGATTAGTGATGGGGAGCGCCTGTTCATGGGCTTCTCCCTGTTTGTAATCCATTCTTCCTGTGGCCACCTGTTCTCTGTCTGCACAGGCAGCTACGTGTTTGCAGCAGAGCTCCATGAAATCCGTGGCTTTGGGGCATCCATCTGCCTGGGAACATTCAGACAGGGAGTTTGAAGTTGAAAACCCAAAGTTGAAATCAGTCCCCTATGGAAGAGAGGCGAGAGGTGTGGTGAGGAGGTGTTTAAAGCCAGGGAGGCTGGGTTTGATGAGCATGGGTTAACTGCTGAATTATGGTTGCTCTCGCTCCCTCAGGTCTGACACCCAGCCAGGGCAGGTCCTCACGCTCACTGAGTCACTGGGAACTGATGGCTTCTCTAATAGCCAGGCTGGAGAGACCAGCGAATCCTCCCAAACACATCAAATTATGAGCTCTATGAAAGTATGGCGCAGACACAAGGAGTTTTTAAACAGAAGGCACACATTAGCCTTACGCTCCCTCCAGCACCCTTGTGTCACTCACGCATGTGTCACAGGTGACAAAATCACTCCCAAAGACAACAGGCTGAGGTTAAGCGCCTCTTCCTGGGAGTCAGGACCCACTGCTGTTTGGCTCTAATCCCTCTTCCTATTTTCACTCATGTCTGTCTCACAACCATTAACCTATGCTCCCTCCCTCCCTCCCCTCTCCCTTCTTCCCTCATTTCCCCTCTCCCTTCTTCCCTCATTTCCTCCCTCCCTTCCTTCCTGTCAGTTGCCTACTGTCCACTAAACAAGCCACTCCTTTTCCTACCTCTGGCCTCTCGAGCCCCATCACCCAGTACTGAACCTCCTTCCACCTTCTCTGGTTGCCCAGTCCTAACCATCTTACACACACTAGGGTCCTCCCTCCTCTGCTACTGCCCAGGTCATTGAAACCCTCACAGCGGCTTCCCCAGACTCCTTAGAATGATTGCTCTTGGCTCCTAGGACACGCAGAAGTAGATCTCTCTTCTACTTTTCTTGCAATTTGCTTTACACTCTTGAGGTACTGACAAGGTGTCACTCATCAAGAGACAGGGAAGCCAAAAGGGCCCTAGTGTCAGGGACACATGTGACATCTACTTGCAGCCTCGTTGTGTAGTTTAGGGTCGCTTTTCTCCTCAGTGTACAAGGACACGCTACATAGTGATCATGACTGTGCTCTGATCCTTTTACTGTACACATTGTGACATCAGCTTCATAAGCCCATATTGCCTGATGAGGTTCTGGGCTTCTGCATTCCTGGTCTGCTAGCTACAAGGCACACACACGATAATGTCAACTCTGAAAGCTGTCACTGCAAAGCTTACGTCCAACGTCCCAGTGCACATTTTATGAGTGTCTCTGCCCTGTACATAACCCCAGTTTCTGGTGCTTAGGGCAAATGAGCTACAATCGTCTTTAGTATGCAGTAAACATGCAGACCAAAAGAACATGTGCTTCCCAGGAAAAACCAAGGACATTTTATTCCATCATTAAACGTATGTGCAGGTACTGCAAAGGGCTCCCCCCGTAAATGGTTTGAATTGGGCAGCATTTTTTAAAAACCCAGGCAATCAATTTTAGTGACCTAAAAATAATACAGTTAAACCCTATTTTCCAGGTTTACTCTAGGGTAATTTCTTTTCTTGCAAATAATAAGTTTTTCTCTCAAAGTCTTTTCCCTCAGTAATTTGCTCAATTCCTGAAGAAATAATGGAGTTGCCTATTTTGGAGTTTCCTCCCTTGGGCAGCCTCCTTCAGAGGCTTATCAGGGCCACTGACTGAGCAGCTTTAAGGTTTCTGCCGGAGTCCAGGATTCTGGAGACCCGCACCCAAGTCCTCTGAAGGCACTCTGCAGAGTCCAATCCTGTGGGTCCCCTGGGTGCCTTCACTCAGGCATCTGTGGAGATTGACTGCTTGTGTGATCCACAGAAGGCAAGGAAATTTCCAGGAGTCCTGGGCTCCAAGGACCAGGCCAAACACTGACCTCAGGAGCCTGTTTCCCCAAACTCTCAATCTGGTGACGAGGATGTAGTTGGGCATTTTATTAGTTTTCTATTGCTGTGTAACAAATTTCCACCAACTTATTGGCTCAAAACAATGCACACTTATTACCCTGTGATTCTGTCGGCCAGAAGCCCAACATCGGTCTCACCAGGATAAAGCAAGGTGTCGGCAGGGCTGACCCCCCTGGAGGATCTCAGGGAGGACCTGTCTCCTTGCCTTTTCCAGCTCCTAGAGGCTGCCTGCATGCCTTGGCTCATGGTCCCTTCCTTCAAAGTCGGCAATATGGCATTTTTCTGAGCCTTCTTTTGTGGTCACATGCTTCTCCCTTTGACTACAGCAAAGATGAGATCTCTGCTTGTGAGGATCCCTGGGATCACATTAGGTCACCCGGATAATCCAGAATAACTTCCCCATCTCAAGATCTTTCATTGCATCAGCGAAGCGACTCCAGCCTTCTAAGGCGACAGTCACAGGTTCCTACACACAGGTAGGATGTGTGTGTGTGTGTGTGTGTGTGTGTGTGCGCGCGCGTAGGTGTTATTCTGCCTGGCACAGTGCTGGAGGGCAAGGGGCTTCCTTTACTACCACAGTGCCCATATGCTCTGCTGTTCCTCAGAGCTGGTCCCTGCTTGTCTTCCATCCCAAAGCTTCCTATTGCTGTCTATACTTTTCATCTAAATTGTCCTCCTGACTTCTGGGTGTGACTTTTCTCTCCACTAGATGCCGCAGAACCAATCTGACCAAATCTGCAGTCCCCAAAGAAGAAACCTTAGCCATCCTGGGGTAGGTTAGCTGTGAGTTGTTGTCCCCAGCCCCCCAACAAGACAGAGCTCAACCAGGGTTCTCCAAGCCCTTGGTCTGGTTACAGAGAGAGGAGAGAATTCACCTCTGTAGTTTTAAGCTTGGGAGCACTTATTTCTAACTGTTATGAGTTTAATAGATTTGCTTTGAAATCAAAAATTTGCAAGGCCATCTCCCTATATGATTATCCGTAACGTTCAAAGTGTGTTGACTGCAAGCTACTGTGATTTCAGTAACAAATATTTAAAAATTTGTATTTCATTAATAACAATGGTATCCACATAATTCAAAAGACAATACAGGTATGGGTAAATGACGTTATTTGGGGGATTTATAGACCATGCATGCTGTGCGTATGGATTTTCAGACACCAAATATGACTCCATGGCCTTATGGGCAAGATTTCATCTGATGGTGGCCGACAAGTCTTGGTCTTATTTATTCTCCTGGGCTCCTCATGAAGTGACTCTGATATTGCAGGCTTTCCCAGACCCTCTCCAAGGAAAAGCCAGCGAGTGGTCTCTGTAGGAACAATTTGAGACAGAGTGGCTGCATATTAGTGGCTGTACATGTGGCCTCTCCCTTAGTGCTTCTCCTGGAGGAAAGGAATCCATGTACATCCCCAGAATATTGAGCATCCCCCACGAGGAGGCCATGTCTTCTGGCCTTTCATGAAGAGCCCACACCCCCTCAGACAGTTGACACCCACATCCAAATGGCTTTTTGTGGTGGTGAACCCCACCCAACCCCACAGTGACCTCTGCTCTCACTTTCTAAGCCCCACTCATCTTATCTATCCCCGAATTTCTCCTCCTTATTTGTAGACTTGTCAGCTCAAGTCACTTTCTGTTAACTGATATTTTCAAAAAACCTGCAAGAATTGTAACTTTCCTCCACTCTTCTGTCTTGGTCAATTTTGCCTTTTTGTTGTTGTGTTTCTCTTGAAACTTCAGCTCTACTCATTCTCTTCTGAGAACCCACTGTGGGCTTACATGAGAAGTGTACTTTAGTTAAAGCTTAATAAATCATGTTATATTTATGATTTTTTT
The DNA here is from genome assembly GCF_000001405.40 of Homo sapiens. Lineage (NCBI taxonomy): Eukaryota > Metazoa > Chordata > Mammalia > Primates > Hominidae > Homo > Homo sapiens. The sequence goes on from NC_000006.12 coordinate 1,013,699, forward strand.
TTCTTTTGATGTAGTTAACCATTAGGCCAAGTAAAGCTATGACAAACTTACAACTCATCTTATAAACATATTTCACTTGAAAGCTTATGTTTGCTTGGGATTATTGTCCTGCCTCTACAGGACAGATTTTTCATGAGTCTCAGCATTTTGTAACAAATATTCTCCACTCAGTGCTTTCGCTTTCCACTTTTAGGACTGACTCAAGGGATGGGGCTTTCCAATTGAAATGCTTTTCTAAGACTTTATTCTTAACGATGTTTCTCCTTAGACTTGGGGTGTTTCCTCTTAGCGTTCCAACTTGCATATTTTTTTTAACAAATGTAGTACTGGTAGAAGCCTATCAGTGAAGTAAAATCTCCCCAGGGATCTATTCATCTTCCTGCTTGTACTTTATACTCATTTCAGATGTTTTTGCACATGCTTGCAGGGGATGATGGTACTTTTCACTCAGGTGTAAATCCTCAGCAGAGGCACGGCAATGAAATGTCACCTGAAGGCCATTCGGGAGGTTTGCACTCATAGAAACATTTCACAAGAAGCCAGGCCCAGTTTTGGGGGTCTGCCCGAAACTTTCAGTTCCTAAAACAATTGTGAGAGGTAAGTAAGTATAAAACTAAGATCCAACAAGGCTAAATGAGTTGCCTGGGAACACAGCAAATCAACCCAAGTCGGGGCAAGATATGTCTTCAGAAATGAGTTCATTTCTGAACTCACTGGGAGTTCAGTGGGCCTTTTGGGACAAGGGTCCTTTGGGAGGAGATTGGGTCATGAATGGGATTTGTGCCTTCATAAAGGAGATCCTGGGTTGCTGGCTAGCCTCTTCGAACATGTGAGGACACAGAGAGAAGGTGCTGCCCATGAGGCAGAGAACACACCCTCCCTAGATGCCAAATCAGCCAGCGCCTTGCTCTTGGACTTCCCAGCCTCCAGAACTGTGAGACATAAATGTCTGCTGCTTATAAATTACTGAGTATCTTGTAAATTTTTTTAAGTTCCTTGTAGATTCTGGATATTAGACCTTTGTTGGATGGGTAGATTGCAAAAATTTTCTCCCATTCTGTAGGCTGCCCATTCATTCTGATGATAGTTTCTTTTGATGTGCAGAAGTTCTTTAGTTTAACTAGATCCCATTTGTCAATTTTAGCTTTTGTTGCAATTGCTTTTGATGTTTTAGTCATGAAGTCTTAACTCAAACAAATTTATAAGAAAAAAACAACCTCATCAAAAAGTAGGTGAAGGATATGAACAGACACTTCTCAAATGAAAATATTTATGCAGCCAACAAACATATGAAAAAAAAGCTCATCATCACTGGTCATTAGAGAAATGCAAATCAAAACCACAATGACATACCATCTCATGCCAGTCAAAATGGCAATTATTAAAAACTCAGGAAAGAATAGATGCTGGCGAAGCTGTGGAGAAATACAAATGCTTTTACACTGCTGGTGGGAGTGTAAATTAGTTCAACCATTGGTGAAGACAGTGTGGCAACTCCTCAAGGATCTAGAACCAGAAATACAATTTGACCCAGCAATCTCATTACTGGGTATACACCCAAAGGAATATAAATCATTCTACTATAAAGACACATGCACATGTATGTTTATTACAGCACTATTTACAGTCGCAAAGACTTGGAACCAACCCAAATGCCCATCAATGATAGACTGGATAATGAAAATGTGTCACATATACACCATGGAATACTATGCAGCCATAAAAGGAAGAGTTCATGTCCTTTGCAGGGACATGGATGAAGCTGGAAACCATCATTCTCAGCAAACTAACACAGGAACAGAAAACCAAATACTGCGTGTTCACACTCATAAGTGGGAGTTGAACAATGAGAACACATGGACACAGGGAGGGGACCATCACACACCTGGGCCTATTTGGGAGTGGGGGGTGAGGGGTGAGGGGAGGGAGAGCATTAGGACAAAGGTCTAATGCATGTGGGGCTTAAAACCTAGACGACGGGTTGATAGGTGCAGCAAGCCACCATGGCACATGTATATCTATGGAACGAACCTGCATGTTCTGCATACGTATCCCAGAACTGAAAGTAAAATTAAAAAAAGAAAAAGAAGATAATTTTTATGCCAAAGTAACATAAAAACAACTACCCAGTGTCAGGTGTTTTGTTACAGCAGCCTGAGTGAACTAAGAGAGTGCCCTTTCCTGTATAAGGGGTGGCTGCAGGGCCCTCCAGGTCATGGGATTTGCTGCTCTGAAGACACAGAAAAACTAAGCCCAGTCAGCCTTCCTCAAACCCCACCACACAGCACCTCCAGTGGAAACATGACTTCACAGCATGAGAGGCCTGACTGCACAGCACTAGCTTTATGCATTTGGAATAGATCCTGGTACTGCTGCCCTCAGTGAGGAATGTGGCACTGCTGTGGCCATGTTCATCTGAGCTCCTTCATGAACACCCAAGGGAGCACTGAGGGTGAATAAATCAGTCCAGTCTCAGCAAGCTGGGCCCTCCCACCTGAAGATCTATAACTGTGACATCCCAAGTCCAGGGGACACATTGAAATATGGGATGTCAGCAACTATTAGTGCATTTGGAGCCATAGGGAAACTTGTTAATTGTTTATTTAATTAAATTTTTTAGTCTTCATTTAAACATCATGTAGTGCGGATGCACAGACACACACTCACACACTTAATTACAGCCCGGCACACCAACTGCCTCTAACGCTTTGACATAGAAATTAATCTAGAGACGGAAGACAGAGCATAAATAAGGAAAATAAACAAACCCCTGGTTGTCACATTTGTTTTCCTCGTTCCTGTTTACTCACTATTTATGGCAGCCCCATAAAATCCTGTCATAATAACTCCTCCTATCAAAGGGCTATCATGACAAACCAGCATTACAGCAACCAAGTTTTCAAGTTTCCTTTGAATAAAGGTCCTAGATGAACCCCATGTTTAGTATAAACCTTCCGTTTCCTCCTGTACAAAATTATTTACGGAAAAAAGTGATTATTTGGGGATTTATGACATCATCAAGCATTGTATGTTTATTCAACCTTGCATTCGTTCACTCATTGATTTATTCAATAAAAATGTACCTGTGCCAGGCCCAGGGCTCGTGCTGCAGGGAACACAGATGTCAGGTCTGTCTGCGCATGTTATGGGCACTCAGTAAACACCGGCAAGGCAGCAGTGAAAATGTTGGTTTAGATTTGGAAAAGGGGAACTGATTTGGGTTTGAGATACCTGAGAAACAGATTAACTTGGTAGTTAGCCTTTGAGTATTGTTCCTCGCAACAGATTTCAGGGGATGGCTGTGCCAGTTATGAGTGAATGCCCACAGTTCACTGGGGACTGGCTTGATTGGGGGTGGATTGCAGCAGTGGCTGCACGTTAGGGTCACCTGGAGAGTTAAATGAACGAGCAGGATGCTTCCCACGTCACCCGGAGATATGATTCAGCCGATGTGAGGTGGCCCAGGGCTGGGTGATCAGCTCTAAGGTTCCCAGAGTGATTCTGCACATCCAGGGATGAACATCAGAGGTGCCGGAGAAAGAACATGGACTTTTGTGATCCTGAATCCCAGGAGTACTAATCACTAACTGTGTAACCTAGGGCAGTCCACTTAGCCTCTTTGAGACTTAATTTCTCATTTGAAAAAGAGAGAAATACAGGATATATAAGATATATTTACCTACAGGTAATTGTGAGACAAATGAAATAATAAAGGAAAGTTCTTAGCAAACTCTTCGTGCATTATTAGTGCTCAATAAATGCTAAATACTATGATTAATAATACATTTTTGTTATTAACTTGAAAGTCATTGTGTTGTGGGAAGAATGGAGTCCTAATTTATAATTTTTTCCCTCCACTTAAAAAAAATAATTTATTGAGCAGACAAGAATAAGTAAAGACATCTCAGAATCAAGCAAATATCCCAGCATGTTCTCGGAAAAATTAAAACTGCAGTTAAGGGTGCACTTCTATTTGATTTAAAAGAAAATATATGTTAATTTAATACTTGGTAACTTTGCAAGGTTTAGACTAAACATTGAACACAAAAATAGCTTCTGAGATTCTTAGTCAAAGACAGCTTTGTTGTAATAGCCTTGTTGAAATCGGAGTTTAAAACCCACTGCTTTTAGGTCCAGTGGGCAAAACAGCCACATGTGGATGTGCAGTCCTTACTGGCAGACACAGGGGAGCTGCTGGGCTGGAAGGTCATGAAACTGCTTTTAGGTGGACCTGGGATGCTACTCACCACAATTCCGGTGGGGTCACTCCTTAATAACAAGCGGGACCCAAGGAAATAACCCTGCCAGGTAAAAGATTGTCTGCCTTTACTTTGTAGGTAAAAATCCAGAGAGCTCTTTATCCTCTGGGGAATGTTCTAGTCTTTCTCCCTCAGGATACTTGTGTGTGGCAGAGGATACTGTTCCCACTAAGTGTTTCCACCTGTACATCCCAGAGCTAAACCCCATCCTGTTTCAGTTACAGGCTCAAACAATAAACATAAACACTTTCTACATCAGGCTAATTTATGGGGTCTGTTTTCCTGGCTTTCCCCAAGAAATTCCACTCCAAACACATTGAGAATGGGAAGAAAAAAAATCTGTTCTTACAGTCACCATAAAAAGTATGCTATTGATTTAAGAAATTTGTGTTTTCTAAAACTAGTGATTCACGTTTGTGTGTATATCACTCTGCCATCCACATTTACAAGAACAGTCGGAATGTTCGTTAGGAAGGACTACACTGGCTTCTTACAGCCAACTGCAGCTTCTTTGTGTGAGTGTTGCTTCTTGAGCTTTATTAAGTTTTTGTGCCAGTGTACAAATGGCACATGTGAGTCTCCACGAAACTAGTTCATTTTCCAATTCATAGCTAGTGTTGTTCCAATACTGACGCTTATAATAAAAGTGTTAAGTAAATCACCATTAACCATTGCCTTAAACAACTGAATTGAGAAAAGTTTCATTAATTTCTCATTATTCTTCTTTTACTGTGCACATGAGCATGTGATTTTAAGCTTTCATAATATGCGTGTATTGTTTAGTATTACAGACATTCACAGCTGAAAAGCAACTCAGAGGTTACTTAGTGAGACCTAATTGTATTAACTTTACATATGAAGAAATGGAATCAAGATGAAAACATCTTCAATGGTTTACCCAAGATTGCATTGTATCTCATGTCATAAATTAATCCAATCTTTAAAACCCATCATTTCTTTTACCCATCCATTCATTTACTAGGTAAGTATTTGTTGTGCATCTCCTGTGTGCTAAGCATCACGCTCTACCGTGGGAATACAACGATTAAGACCCAGTCCCCTGCCCACGGAGAGCCCTGTGCGTTTATGGATAAGACAGGCAAGATGGCAGGCAATGACAGAGTCTTGAGATAAAGTCACATGGCTACACCTGGCTGTTCTCTAGACGCCTCAGAAAGAGGAAATGATTCAGGCATTGAGCGTTCTGGGAAGGACTCATCTGATTTTTAATACTTCATTATTAAAATGTTAAGCAACAGAAACATGCTTTGACTTAGGGAGATCCAAAAAACCTACATTTGATTTCAAATTCTGCTACATGCTTGCTCTATGACCTTAAACAAATGACTTAGCCTTTCGGAGTTTCCTTATCTTTAAATGGGGATAATAATATGAACCCCAGGATATTTGACAAAATTATATAGTAAATACAGAATTCTAAGTACTGAATAAGTAATTGTTGCTATTCCATACACTTATTTAAAACTTAGCCTCTTGGGAAAAGCATATGGTAAAACTCAGGCTTCTTCTACACCCGTGTCTTTCAGGATGGGGGAGAAAATGGCAGAGGGGCTCAAACACAAGGCTTAGCCCCCACCTATTCTGTGCTCTTTCCACCCAAACACATGGAATCAAGCTGCCACGGAAGCAGAAGCCTGGGGAGAACAGGAAACAAAAACGCAGAGATACTGAGTTCACGAGTGACTGCAGTGTTAGAAGAGGTGTGGGGCTGAATGGGAGTGTGGGGACATGTTAGAAAATCGCTCTCAGAGGAGTTACCACAAAGAAAAGCTTTCTTTCTGATTTTTACATCCCATCACTCAAATTACTGTAACCTACAAAATTCATGAATATGCACTAGTTCCCCATTGCACTAGGTATTTGGTGGGGCATGAATTCAGATTCTGAGAGGTGAATAAGTCCAACAACACCTTGACTTCTTAAATTCTAACTCTGTAAATTTGCAGATGAGAAACCAAAGTCCATAGAGGTGAAGTGACATGATTATAGTCATTTAGAAGACAATGAGATGGGCTTAGATGTGTGAGGACTTCATAAATCCATGTGTGAAAGAGAATGGGTGAGGGGCCAGGGTAAGACCTTGCAGCAAGTCTGACCAGTGAAAGAGGGAGGGAGGTAAGGTTGGATGGCGGCGTCCCAGAGGGCCATGCACCCAGAGGAAGGTTTAGGAGAGCTGTGAAGCAAACGTCAGAGAAGCCCTGGTCTTCCAGCACCGGGCTGGCCTTAGGGCCCCTGCTGTCCTCAGTCATTGGCTGGGAGAACCAGGGAAAAGCAAATGTCGAGAAAGATTTCAGAGGCAGACGCCGGGGTTTTTGTTCACGTGTGCTTCCATAATTGGGGGTCTGTGCTACTCATGGCTACCAGGGTCCACCATGGGTAGGGGTTCTCACTGACCACACACTGCAGGAGCAGCTCCTCCAGGGCCCCTATGGGGCTTTCTGCAGAGGGAGACACAGCTGAGGGAGGCAGGTGGGATGGGCTGTAGGCCACATTGCTGTCATTCACTTGGGGCCCCAGCTGGTACTAATCATCCCCTAACCCTGCTACTCATTCTAAATGTCCCTCACCCTCAGCACTTTGGCAGGGCTCAGTGGCTTGTCTGATGGCATGACCCGAAGGATCACACCCTTGGTCATCGTGTTCTTCTCATCCAAGCTTGCTGAGAGCACCCATTTACCTCTACGGTGGAACCCGGGTATACCAGGAGGCACCCGAGTGGAGCCCTAGGCATGTTCCTCCCTGCCCCACTGTGTACAAGCAGCCACAGCTCCTCTCAATGACCAGGGTCCATTTCCTCAGCCACCTCCTGAGGACAGCTCCGGAAGCAGGGTTACTTGGTGTCTCACAGTCAAGTAGCCTGCCTTCACCAAGGCCAGCAGCACCCAAGAAACATTTCTCAAGGCTGCCTAATCCTCTGTTGCAGATGGCAAGGCCTTGCTCCCGCATCCCAGGAGCCTGTGTTGTGGCTCTTCTGTGGAACTACTGGAAGCTCCAAGCTGCCTCTGATCCCTACTGATGCCTCCAGCACCATAGGGTCTGCAAGATTGTGTGGCCCCAGCAGTAGGGATGAATGCACCACAGCTTGGACCCACAGCACAGCCCTTTCCTGCCCACCACGGTATACCTGGAAGCCTTCTGTGTCACACACAATCTAGGAATGGGATGAGTTGCCACCAGAACCCAGGCACCATGCTTACTTCTTTGTAGTAGTTAATGCAAAATGCAGTGACTTATCTTTCACTGTGGAGCAAAATCCTCGCACTCCTTAATTTCTGGCCCCTAAAATCTTCACTGGAGTGGTCAACTCCCGAGTCTTTGCAGGGTTTACCCCCTACCTGCAGCATCACATGTGTCTTCCTTACTCTCTCAGTGCATGAGCCCCCTCTTGTTTCTTTCGTTCAGTCTGCATGAAGTCATTGATCATTACAGTATTCTACAGTTAGGCCAAGCAGTCCAGGACTGCTCATGCTGTGCCTAGTGTTGGTTCGTGGGTTCGTGGTCTCATCTTGCTGACTTCAAGAATGAAGCAGCAGACCTTCACGGTGAGTGTTACAGCTCTTAAAGAAGGCATGGACCCAAAGAGAGAGCAGTAGCAAGATTTATTGTGAAGAGTGAAAAAACAAAGCTTCCACAGGTGGAAAGGAACCTGAGTGTTGCCACTGCGGCTGGGGTGGCCAGCTTTTATTCCCTTATTTGTCTCTGCCCATCTTCTGTTTTTGTCCTATCAGAGTGCCCTTTTTTCAATCTTCCCTGTGATTGGCTACTTTTAGACTCCTGCTGATTGGTCCATTTTACAGAGCACTGATTGGTGCATTTTACAAACCTCTTGCTAGCTACAGAGCACTGATTGGTGCGTTTTTACAGAGTGCTGATTGGTGCATTTTACAATCCCTTTGTAAGACAGAAAAGTTCTCCAAGTCCCCACTGGACCCAGGAAGTCCAGCTGGCTTCACGTCTCAATGCCAAGAGGCACAGAGTTCATACAGCACTGTGGTTAAATTAGCAGTGCATATCATCAGTCCTATGTGAGCTGTTTCTGGTCCTCTTTTCCAAATGGAATGGTCGAGCATGCACTGGCAAACTAAGAGGCACATGCCCCGTTCTTGGTGCTTTGCTAATCTGCTCTAATGGTGTGATCTGGGCTACTGCTAGGTTAAGTCTGGTAGTAGTGGTAGTCGACATTCGTTCTCTGGGATCCATAGAGTTTCTGCAGGGGCCAGCCTGACAATTCGATGGAGCAGTGATCGGTACCAACACTGTGCACCCTTTAGGTCCTTAATGGTGGACTTCAGTCTGCCTTTCTTTCCCATCTCCTGCCAAGATTCAGCGAGGTTGAGGGGGCAGCTTCGGGGGTTTTCACCTTTTCCAATTGGCCTTTCCCACTATGATAGCTCTTATCCCACAAACCAAGAACCCTAATGTGGGCGTAGTTCCACCTGCTCTGTAGCTCTTGTCTAACAGTCCACTGAAGAACTGGGAAAGACCACTGCTGAAGCCACAGACCCAGCAGGCCCACTGCGAGCTGGACAACAGCCAGATCCAGTAATGACTTGGCCCCCAGGTCCCCTACTCTACCGGGAAAGCCAAGATGACTCTGTGGAATCTCTAGGTATCCCTGGAAATTCAGACCTTGTGTCCAATAGTCTTTGAAATGTCAGGTAATTCCCCCTACCCAGATTAAAGTCACATGAGTAAATGGCCTTAGGTGCCCTTGAGGAAGGACTGGGGGAATGCTCATATGCTGGCCACCATGCTGCAGGAATCTGTATTTGCAGGACAAGCCAGCTCTTCAGTCAATGGGTTTCAAGTCTGAAATTGGGTATGCCTGGGGACTGAGCAGGAGGCTTTGTCTTGGTTGCGGAGAGGCAGTCCTCAGCCTGCCGCTTCTTCCTTCTTTACCATTACTATTACAGGCATGGGGTGGCACCCTTGTGGGCCTATCTGAGGCTAAGAACAATCTGCTGTATCAGCCATCCCCAAACTCCCTGCAGCTCAGGCCCCCTTGGCCACCCCTCCAACCTTCCTATTCATCATTGTTGTGGCCTCTGGTTTCTAGCCCCCATTACTTTGGGGCCCCATCATCCCCAAAAAGACCCAGTCTTCCAAGAGCCACCCCAGGAGCTTTGCTTCATTTCTTGACATCCTGTCTACAATGTTAAATCTTATATTCTGAAAAAAATTACTTCTAACTATTGCTTATCTGATTTACAGTCTGATCAAACACCCTCAAAATCCAATCCCAGGCATACTCCCTTAGCTCCCATGTGGACACATGCCAGCTGGCCTTTCCATTATTGGGATGAAAAGTCTTTTCCTCCCCTCTCAAGCCCAGCATATTCTCAGCTGGGTTCTGTTGGGATTGAAGCCTAGCTGTGCCCTGGCCTCCTAGAGGGGAGGATGCCTGTTGCTTGTTGGGGAAGCTTCTGCGCTTGTACTAGGATATGGCGGGGCCACCTCTGCAATTTCAGAGGACTCACAGGGACTGTAGAGTCAGCGTCCACAGGGAACGCCATGCAGAGGTTTCCCCACCAAGGTTCTGCCTCACAGATCACAGAAATGCCTGGACTGAGCACCCACACATCTCCAGAGCTCTGACACTTTCACAAGTACCTGCTGCTCAACTGCATCTGCCCACCCATGCCAGGTGATGAGGGTCCCTTCAGAAGCTATCCTTGAAGCTCTCTGGCTCTCACACTTGACCATTAACTGCTAGTTAATACATCCCAGACTCCTTTTCCTTCTGCAGTACATGAATTCAGCTTTGCAATAACCAGTCAACTGTGCTGTCTTGTAGACATTGTTCCCCCAATATTTTCCAAATGCTTCCATCATTGCACCTGTCTCTGCATTATCCTCCACTGAGCGGTGTTTCAAGGCCCACCTCAGTGAAATCTTTAGCAATCGAGCTGCCATCCCTTATCAAGGAGGACATGAGTCTCTGCCCTTCCACCAGTCATCATGGAGACCTTTCTACCTGCTAGCTAATTCACGATCTAGACCGAAACCCATATTTTGTCACCTTTTTTCTCTGACCACTCTTGGTACCACTCCTGTGAGTCTGGGTCTTCTGAGAAGCAGAAGTCTGCAAAGATTCTAGTGGGAGAAAGGCCTGCATGAGAGAAAGTGGAGAGGGCTAAGAGGCAGGCCTCCCCACCATGCAGGTATGAGCCCCAAGATAAGGTCAGCGAGACTGAAGGTTGGGTGGAAAGTCCCAGATCTGTACCCTCTAAGGAGGGCCCTATAGGCTGCTGTGGGTCCTCACCAAAGCCAGCACTCACAGCAGCCCGTCTCTCCTTGTTGGCTGGCTGCTGTGGGGAGCATGGTTTTGACCCAGGTGAAGGGCAGGTGTGCAGGCCTGGCAGGAGGCCGCTGGCCAATTGCACTCCTTGGCTGGAGCTGGGTGGGTGTAGCTTCAGGACCACAGTGGAGTTGGGAGCACAAGCCACCCTTCTTCCTTCCCGAGGTCTTTCCATGGCTCCTGGAGCCCACTGCACGTGACAACTTCATTATTGTAACTGTAATGAGAAAATCGCTAGGAGAACAAGGACATGAGGAATTAATTTCTGCTCTGTTTAGAGAAGATGTTGAACTTTCTTTCAGTGGCCAAAAGGCAAAGCCCGATGTCATGGCCGAAGAGGTCTGGAGAAACTAGGACGCGGCAGTCACATCCCTCCCCACGGGGTCACCGCACTGCCTGCAAGGAACTTCCTGAATGCTGCCTCTGCACAGCTGGCAACCAGGGGTTCTTAGAGCTTGAAGGAGCATGCATTCTTTATTATGACACAACTAGGAAAAAATCACAGTGCCAAGTTAGCAAAGTTAAACTCAGGGGCGGTGCTCTGCCAGGAACCCCGCTGTGGAGAGATGTTTATTCAATGTGCTTTCTGCAAGGACCAAAGACAGGCTGATGCTTTTATGAGACACTGCGGTTTGCTCTTGGGTAACAAACAGCAATGAAAAAAAAACAGGAAATTTCCACTGTAAGATGTTCTAAATGAAGTATTTAATATACTAAATGTAATGAGTGGGTCCCCTGCTGACTTGCATTGAAGAACATAAATATGTAATAAACTAAGCTACTTGGGACTATCTGAAAATGCATTCTCCCAAGAACAACCTCGGGTTTACTGTCCTTTTAATAAAACTTCCTCCAAGTGACAGTCATTGTCTTTAACACAAATGCACATTGTAGATCTTTCTTGACAAATAATAATTGTGAGGATGCTTTGGAACTCAATTGTGAAATTAATCCCATTATCCTTTAAGACATTACAGTTGTGTTTTACTGACGTTGATTTCGCCTGTCCCATTTTTAGATATTTTTAAAAATCTGATTTCATTTCTCCCTGGATTTTATTTTTTGTAGTCAGTTTATAGCATCTTTCCAAAACCAACCATGCTAAATGGAAAACATACCTTAGATTAAGAAAAAATTACATATTTTCCATGTATAATAATGGAATGCTTTGTGGTATGACAGTCATTCATTGCAAACATTAAGCCTATATTGATAACGTTCAGTTAACACTGAGGTGCTCATAATATATGGATCATTAAACTGCCTCTACGTTGTCAGATTTTACTTATTTAAATAATAACTAAGACTCTAGAAACTTTTCTCTAATAACCTGCCAACAGTGATCATAAAAATCCTGCAGCATTTCCTGATTTCTGTGATGTGAACACACTCACCATGGCTCTTCCCAAGGCTCCAGGGTGATGTCCTGGGATGTGGGATGGGAAGAGGTGTGCAGAATTTGTTCTCAGGAGTTGGAATGGCCGAGAACAACTTAGCCACCAAACCAATTTCTAACCCGCCTTCTGCCCTCCTTGGTTCCATTGAGTACACATGGTCCACCTTCTCTACCCTTTTAGCCTAACAAAAACTCTGGCCTCAGTAGCACAAAGTGCAAATGCGCTCTGCCCTCCGAGTCCTCCAGGGTTTGTGGTGGTGCTGGCACAGAGGTATGGTTACTGGGCAGCTCCACCTTCAATCATAACAGAAGGCCTGTGAAGTCAGTGGCGTTTCTTCCTTTTTGGGTTTGGAAGCTGATGCTCAATAGGATTCAGGGACACCCCCCAGGGTGGGCCAAACTGCCAGGAATGTTCTCTACCCACTGGGCCTCACTGGATTTCCCTCCTAGAGGGCTGGTCACAGTGGCAAGGATGAGATTGGGAGGATCAGCAATTTGACTTGGGTCTATTTAAGGGAAAAATTGGTAACCTTCCTGGAATATGTTTCTCATAAACCTCCATTGTGTTGGATGATAAAGGGGTCGATGGCTCCTTATGGAAAAGGGCAAATCCAACAAAGACAGCTCTAAAGGAGGAAGGTAGCCGACGGAAGGGCACACAGAAGCCCCGGCCAAGCTGAGCCTGGTTGCCTCTCTCCCCACCCTCCCAGCACCACCCGACTGGGGCTGGGACAGGCCACTTCCTCAGCGGGACACCTGTCCAAGTCCGGACAAAACACCAAAGCCCTGTTCTTTGTTCCCCTTTGCACAGCTGAGAAAGCTTGGGATTTTCAAAAGAACTTTTTACTAAAACATCATCAGAAAACAAACAACAAATGAACAAAGAAAAGACTAAAAGCACGAAAGCCATCTTCAAAGCACGGATACGGAGTCCTGCGGAATCTCCCTGCCTCACCATGGTTGTGGGCTGGCTCAGCAGTGCACCCTGGAACCTGGCTGTCAGAGCCCCCACCTTTGCACCCCCTGCCCATCTTTGCCACCTCCTTTCTGGGGAGAAATTCTTGCTACATGAGAGAGAAATGATATGAGACACATGGGCTGGTGTCACAGCTGGAAAAGTGCAGGCCTTGCCCTCCAGAGGTTGCCAGGTGCAGAGAAAGAAACCAGCAGATCTGTGATTGCTCTCCACTTCCAGGGAGTATGGTGGGTAGAGACTGGGATGTGGGAGGGAGACAGAGACACCCACGACAGCACCCTAGATCTGCCATCATTCAGCAGCACGACTCTGGCAAGGTGATAGCGTTGGGCAAGCCCTGGCGTCCTCCTCCATAAGATAGAAACACCACAGTGCCTGCTGATGGGCTGTGAGGACAGAATTAAGTGGTTGTGACTGGCCCGTGTGAAGTGAACTCAAGGTGAGCTTTAGTGTCGTTACAAAGGACGACTTGAGCTTGACTTCTCCAGGACTCCCGACCTTACTTCTTACAGGGGCAAATGGCAAAGCATAGAGATGCCTGTGGGTAGCCCTTAAACTGGCACAGCTCTGGGAATTCTGCGACACTGGCCCTAGGTTCTGTTCTTGCTGTCAGTAGCCACTCAGCCCTCCCAAAAGAACATGTGGGTGCTCCCAGGACCCAAGGACCTTGCTTTCGTTACTATCTGGGGAACTGGGGGCAGGAAGGATGGGAGGAGGTGGGGAAAGAAGATCAGGAACAAGGAGGCGTGAACCATTCAAGATGACACAGAGTCCCAGGCTTTGGGAATGGGCTGGGTAATTGCTGAAAGGCCGAAGGAACAAGGAGAAATTGTGCAAGTGGAGTTTTCTTTGGGAGCCTTAAGAACTGAAAGCCAAGAAAAAGCAGAAATGTGCAGCATCTTTCTGGAGAGGTCCTTCTTGCCTAGGACTCCCTTCATTACCATGAGCAGTTTCCATGACTCAATCCTGTGTCATCCCTCACGTGCCTCCCCCTAAATAAATAGAAAGGAAAAAAACAGAAGAAGGGAGGGAGGGAGGCAGGGAGGAAGGGAGAGAGGGAGGGAGGGAGGAAGGAAGGAAGGAAGGGAGGCAGGTAGGCAGGGAGGGAGGGAGAGAGGGAGAAAGCGAGGGACGGAGGAAGGAAGGGAGAGAGGAAGGAAGGGAGGGAGGGAGGGAGAGAGGAAGGAAGGAAAGAAGGAAGACTATTAGCCAGAATAGCTTGATGGTTTTAAACATTTTTTAAGTTGAGCTTATTTCCTCCCAGTTGTGTCTCACACACTAGACTATAAGTTCCAAAAGGGCAGGGGCAACGTCTGCCCCCATCATTGTCAAAACTCCAGTCCTAGAGCAATGCCTACCACATGACACATGTTCAAAATATGTTGGCTTAATGAATAAAGAAAAAGCCAAATCATGAAGCTGATAAAATTGCTAAGTTAGGACTTCCAATTAAAGATAAGAAATCAAGCAATCATACTGTCCTTATCTCTAAAAATGACAAAAATGGACAAAAAATAAAAATAAAGTAGAAGACCCCATTTTAAATTAAGAAAAGGAAACATTTTCAGCTCAAGAATACAAAGAATTTCTACCAGTTCAAGTGGCGCTTTGACCTGCTGAGAATACTTCCTGGCTGCCTCTACCACATCGACTCCTCTTTCCTAACTGTGCTGTGACATCCTGCTGAGTTACTTTCAATGGGATTGAACTTTCCCTTGCTCAAGCAGTAGGCGGCCCTGATTAGCTGGAGGGGGTTGACGTTCTCCACCCTTGGGCTGGGGTGATGTGTTCGAGAACGGACATACAGTCCGAGTCAGGTCCATGCGGACCTGCAGGACTTAGCTCCAACCCTTTTGTTGATCTTCTAGAAAGGCAGTGTTTTCCTACTGGAAGTAAATGAGACATGGAGTTGGGCAGGAGATTCAGCCAGGCTCTTGAGACCACAGTGGAGGAGTTGCTAGAGAATTGGGGCAACTCTGAGGATGCGGAATTGAGAAATAGAAACTGTTTTATGGCTGTGTTGTTTAAGGCCTGGATGAATCTCACTTGAAGCCAGACATGCCTCTGGGATGCTCTGTGGGGGAAAATAGAGTGTTTACATTTAGGGCTGTTTCAGTTGGGTTTTCTAGAGCTTGCAAGGGGGTCTGAATGGCAACTGCCCCAAAGTTGACACACACCTCTTGAGAGTCTTAGCTTTTCCTGGAGGTGAAGGGCCTTGAGGAATCCGAGGATCCTATGGTGAAAACCAAAGGTGCCGGCACAGATGAGTGACAGGAGCACTAGGGAACAGGCCGCCTCCACCCCAGCGTGTGGGCGGGAGGTTGCCTCTGGAATTCTTGGCCTATTTTCTATGGACATGGCTTCGTAACCTGGAGAAAGAGCCAGACAGAAGAAAATGCTAACCCGAGATGTACGAATAGAGAAAAATCAATGGTAAGTCACAAACCATTGAGCTAAGAGGCATCTGAGAGTCACTGCCAGCTCCTGTGTGGGGCATCATTTTACCCCAGTCAGGTGATGCCCCCAAATCTAAGGAAAGGGATGTGTCCTCAGAGAAGACAGAGATTTTGTGGGGGGAAAGGTATTTGGTGACAGCAGAACTGTTTAAAAGTTATTGACTGTAACAGCCAATGCTCTGAGATAGTTAGTTTGTGGCCTCCACATCTCCTGTTGAAATGTGATCCCCAGTGTTGGAGGCAGGGACTGGTGGGAGGTGTCTGGGTCATGGAGCAGTTCCCTCATGCGTGACTTGCTGCTGCGGGAGAGCTGCTTATTAAAGAGTCTGAAACCTCTCCCATCTGTTGCGTCTTCTCTCGCCATGTGACACATCCACTCCGGCTTTGCCTTCTGCCATGAGTAAAGGCTTCCTGAGGCCTCTCCAGAAGCAGTTCCTGACACTATGCTTCTTGTACAGTCTGCAGAACAGAGAGCCAAATAAACCTATTTTCTTTGTAAATTAGGCACAATGAACTAACACACATTCTCTGCACTCCCCACCCTGTTTTTTGAGCAATTAGCTGGCGCTAATAATACCCATTCCAATAAAAATATGAGTAATATTCAGAAAGGACCTAAGATGTACCACATGCACAGCCAACGAAAATCACAAGCAAAGAGCTAAGAAGACTTCACTTAAGAAGAATTGCCGCAGGTAATAGAATAAAATTTTAGGCAAATACTTCTCTGTACTCTCAAATACTTCTCTGTACTCTCAAATACTTCTCCGTACTCTCAAATACATTGAAGAGTAAACAAGACTATTTTGGGGGGATGGTTGGAAAATACCTTTAAAAAGTTGTACAGGAGATATAAAATGAAATTACAGAACCCAGAACAGCAATAGAAGATAACAATATAAATGTTACAAGGAAAAAAATCAGATTATATGCCACTGAACAGAGTCAGTAATCTGATAAAATCACCCAAGAATAAACTAAGAAAGAAGAGATAGTGAATAAAAGCAAAATGAGAAATATCTCAGGTAGAATAGAAAAGAACTAAATTGAGTATAATTGGTGTTCTTGAAGAGGTGAAGAGAATAAACAGAAAAGTAAAAGTACTCAAATATAATACAGAGACAAGAAGAGTTAGAACATTTTTAAAATAAAAAGAAAGGCCGGGCGCGGTGGCTCACGCCTGTAATCCCAGCACTTTGGGAGGCCGAGGCGGGTGGATCATGAGGTCAGGAGATCGAGACCATCCTGGCTAACAAGGTGAAACCCCGTCTCTACTAAAAATACAAAAAATTAGCCGGGCGCGGTGGCGGGCGCCTGTAGTCCCAGCTACTCGGGAGGCTGAGGCAGGAGAATGGCGTGAACCCGGGAAGCGGAGCTTGCAGTGAGCCGAGATTGCGCCACTGCAGTCCGCAGTCCGGCCTGGGCGACAGAGCGAGACTCTGTCTCAAAAATAAAAATAAAAAAAATAAAAATAAAAATAAAAAAATAAAAAATAAAAAATAAAAAGAAAATCTGAACCTGAAGATACAAAAGGAATATTTTGTACCAGGAAAAAAAGATACAATATTATCAACACTGAGGAATGTTTCTGAGCTTTAAGGATAAGGCACAAATGCTGTAGACATCCAGACAGAAAGCAAGTCCTTTGTACAGGACAAAAGAAGGTGAACCTCAAGCATCTCTCCAGGAACATTCAGCATGTAAGATAAATGAGAAAATGCTCCAGGATTTGGAAAGGGAGAAAGTGTATTTACCTTATTAAAAAAGAAATCAAAATAAAGAATTCAGAAATGCAGAAGTAGCAGAATGAAGGAACTCGGTGTGAACATTACATATAATTATAAGGCTAACTAAATATACATATTTAATAAGGTCAGTTTTTAAAATGTAATAGCAATTCTGGTGGTAAACAAATCATCAAGAAATGAGAAAAAATAAATTTAAAGATTGAGAAAATTATTGTTACATAGGAGAATATAAATATTATAACTTTTCAAAGTAATTACAATTAAATGTCTGGAAAATGGGGGATGGAAAGTTTTAGTTTTTAGTTTTTTTGACTGTCATAAACTATTTTCTACCGCATCAATGATGTAGAAGTTTTCCAATTTCTCCACATCCTTGCCCACTCTTGTTTTCTGTTTTGTTTTTATGATAGCCATTCTAATGGGTGTGAGGTGGTATCTCATTGTGGCTTTGCAGTAACTATTACTGATGTTGAGCATTTTTTCATGTGCTTACCAGCCATTTGTATATTTTCTTTAGAGAAATGTCTATTCAAGTCTCTTGACCATTTTTGAATTGGGTTTGTGGGGGTTTCTTTGCAAGTATTGAGTTGTAAGAGCTCTTTATACATCCTGGATATTAATTCCTTATCAGATATATGACTTGCAAATATTTTCTCCCATTCCATGTGTTGTATTTTCACTCTTTTGATGCACAGGTTTTAAATTTTGCTGATGTCCAAAATTATCTATTTTTTGTTGCTGCCTGTGGTTTTGCTGTCATATCAAAGAAATCATTGCCAAATCCAGTGTCACGACGATCTTCCCCTATGTTTCCTTCCATGAGTTTTATAGTTTTGACTCTTAGGTTAGGTATTAAATTCATTTTGAATTAATTTTTGTGTATGACGTAAAGGAAGAGTCCAACTTCATTCTTCTGCACGTGGGCATCTAGTTTTCCCATCCTATTTGTTGAAAAGACTGTCCTTTCCCCAGTGAATGGTCTTAGCAGCTGTTGAAAATCAACTGGCTGTTTGTTATTTTTGGACTGTACTCCAGTACATTGGTCTTATAGGTCTGTCCTTGTGATAGTAACACATTGTTTTTATTTTGATCACTTGATAGTAAATTTTGAAATCAGAAAGTGTTAGTTCTTCAACTTTGTTTACTTTTTCAAGATTGTTTTGACAATTTGAGGTTCCATGAGATTCCACATAAATTTTATCAGGAGCTTTTTATTTCTGAAAAAAATGTTGGGAATTTGATAAAGATTACATTGACTCTGTAGATCACTTTGAGTAGTACTGTCATCCTAATATTAAATATTTCAATCCATGAACATGGGATAACTGTTCACTTATTTATATAATCTTTTATTTCTTTCAACAATGTTTTGTAGTTTTCAATGGAGAAATCTTTCACCTTCTTGGTTAAATTTATTCCTAATATTTTATTCTTTTTACATGATTATAAATGGGATTGTTTTCTTAATTTCCTTTTTGAATTGTTTTTAGTGTCTATAAATGCCAACAGAGTTTTATGTGTTTATTTTGTATCCTGCAACTTTGCCAGATTTCTTTATTAGCTCTCACAGGTTTTAATGAATACTTTAGGGATTTTTTTTTTTTCTTTTTGAGATGGAGTCTCACACTGTCACCCAGGCTGGAGTGCAGTGGCACAATCTCTGCTCACTGCAACCGCCGCCTCCTGGGTTCACGCCATTCTCCTGCCTCAGCCTCCCAAGTAGCTGGAACTACAGGTGCCCACTACCACACCCGGCTAATTTTTTGTATTTTTAGTAGAGACGGGGTTTCATTGTGTTAGCCAGGATGGTCTCGATCTCCTGACCTCGTGATCTGCCCACCTTGGCTTCCCAAAGTGCTGGGATTACAGGCATGAGCCACCACGCATAAGATTATGTCATCTGCAGACAGGTAATTTTACATCTTCTTTTCCAATCTGGGTACTTTTTATTTCTTTTTCTTACCTAATTGCTCTGGCTAGAACTTCCAATACTATGCTGAGTTGAAATAGCCAAAGCAGGAATTCGTGTCTTGTTCCTGATCTTAGGGGGAAAGCTTTCAGTCTTTTAGCATTGAGTATGAAAAGAAAAACATTATAAAGTAGTAGTATGGTGAGATTATCCTACTAGCTATGAAAATATATTATAAAATGAAGATAATTTAAAAAGTGAGGCATTGGTATACTTATAGGCTGACAAATCAATATGTAGTAGATAACGTCAAGGTATAGAGCCATATACTCCGAAAATGCAATATGTGTAAAGGCACAGACTTGAATCTGCAGGGAAAAGATACACTATTCAACAAACACAAATTGTTTTCTAAAATGGTGTAGCCAACTGGAAGATAACATAAACTTGGATTCAAACAATGTTAATATATGGTTTATTGAGAAATTACAGATAAATGTTTAAAATGGAAAACAATAAACTATTAAAAAATAGAATAAATCATGGCAGAATTTTTTGATTCTCATAATTTTATAATGTAGAAGCTGTTTCTAATATGAATAAAATAAAGTAAGAAAAAAATTGATAAATTTAACTACATAAAAAGAAATGATTTCTACATGGCAACATCCCCCAGAAGAAAATTTAAAACATAAACAATAAAAATGATAAAGCAGATTTGCAATTCATAATATGGGCTAAGGATTAATTCCCTGCTATATGTGTGTATTGTATGTATGTGTGTGTATGTGTGTGTGCATGTCTGTTCAGCTATATATACTAGAAATCAGCGAGAAAAAGACTGATAACCCAATAAAAATAAGCAAAATATATAAGCAGACAACAAAAAATGAACCACAAATTACTCTTAAGCATATTAAAAGATGCTCAACCTCGTTCATTATTTAAAAAATGCAAATTAAACTTACACTGAGATCCATTTTTCACCTATCAAATTGGGAAATACCAAAAAGCTTGACAAAACTCCATGTTGATGTGAGTGTAGGGAAACAGATCTGCCGACACATTGCTGGTTGGACAATAAATGATTACATCCCCAGCTATGTGCAGTTGGCAATATCTATCAAAACTATAAATGCATATACCCTTGACACAGCAACTCCATTCCTGGGAATTTATTCTACAGAAATACTTACACCTATCCTGTGTGAGGTTTGTACGAGGTTATTACTCATTAGATGATTGTTCTGGTAGCAAGTAATTGGAGATAAGCTAAATGTACAATGTGAGATTGGTTAAATACCTGAGGGTACACCCACATAGTGGAATACTACGCAACTGAAATAAGAAATGGGAAAGCTTCATATGCACCGATGTGGATAAATGCTTCAAATTTATCGTAAGCCTTTGAAAAAAACATGATTTAGAAGTGTAAGTGCCTTTTTTTTTTTTCTAAAAGAGAATATATGGAAAACATCTCTAGAAGTATATGCAAAACTGTTAAACCATTTCAAAGAGTGGAGTTTGGGTGTCTGAGACAAAGGGAGGTTTTTCACTACATATAGTTGTTTTTTTCGGGTTTTTTTTTTTTTTGAGATGGTGTCTTGCTCTGTCACCCAGGCTAGAGTGCAATGGGGCAATGTCGGCTCACTGCAACCTCCACCTCCCTGGTCCAAGTTATTCTCCTGCTTCAGCCTCCTGAGTAGCTGGGATTACAGGCACCTACCACCATGACCGGCTAATTTTTATATTTTTAGTAGAGTCGGGGTTTCGCTACGTTAGTCAGCCTGGTCTCAAACTCCTGAGTTCAGGTGATCCACCCGCCTCGGCCTCCCAAAGTGCTGGGATTACAGGTGTGAGCCACTGCACCCGGCCACTACATATAGTTTCTCATCATAATTTCTATTTATTAAAAATTATATATCCTATTTCAAAGTTAGTAAATAAAATAAATGAAGCAAGATAAAAAATGTTCTCTTATAAAATTGGAAAATTCTGATGTGACTGTCCCCGTGTTGGGAAACTGTGGCTCTCTCTAGTGGGTATTTGCCCATGCAGCATGCAGGTTCTGCAGGACACGGTTCTGCCATGGCTTGTGGAGGAGTCATGGCTCCTGACGGCCAGCTTGTTGCTCCTTCTGCAGCACCAGTTTGGCTGTCATGCTGCGTTACTATGAATGTATATGATATATTGGATAGTATATTAAGAATGAACTAATATATAATAATTTCCTCCTCTTATCTTTTTCGCTTTTACAAAATAATAAAAATTCCTGCATTCACTGCATGACAACACTAAATTAAATTAATTAAAGTGAAATTGTAATTGCCCGAGTCCTCACCATTTTGAAGACTAATCGACAGTTTGTCTATTCCACTTGAATAAAGATTTCACAACATTTTTGCATCCAAATGAATCAGGAATATTGAACATTTGTTCTGTAACTTGCATTACCATAATGTTTTTAAATGACAGGTTGGGACTCTTCAGTGAGTTATGAAATCTATTGGATCACAACCAGCCTTTAAAGGAAATGAGATAGAGTAAGTGTGATAGCATAGAAAATGTCAGAACGAATTACAGATAATAAAAATACACACAAATATGTGTCTTGGGTTGTGATGAAAACTGTATTTCTTACATGCCTGGTGCTGGGGGTTCTGGTGCTGGAGATACAATGACAAACAAGATCAATTCTTGTCCAATCCTTATAGAGTTTACAGGCTACTGGGGTGGGGCGGGCGATAAACAAGCAAGCGAGTACATCAGTGGATCCAGATGGTAAACAGCACCAAGAAGGAATTCACAAGCCGCTGGAGGAGGAACACCGAGGATGGTAAGGCCTTAGAGGCACGGAGGGAGCCTCTGAGAAGGGGGTGTGTTCTCGGCAGCCTGAGAAGGAGAAAAAGCCCTCCGTGTGGGGGTGCAGGGAAGGGACCTCCAGGCGAGGGGGTGGCAAGTGTGGATCCTGCACAGGGAGAAGGTGAGGTGTGTGCCAGGAGTGGAAGAGGATGGGCGCGCAGCACAAGGCTGAGATGAATAGGGCCGGACTGTGCCAGGCCTCCCGGCTGTAGGAAAATGCACGTGGATCGTGCGCTAAGTGCAGCAGGAGGCCACAGACGAACGTTCATCAGGGGAGTTACGTGTTAGCGCTCACAGTTTTAAAATAGCATCCTGAGTTCTCAGGACGGGGTGAATTTAAAATAAAGCAACGGGGGAAGCTGGGTAAACAGCTGGGAGGTTCTTGCTGCAGTCTCGGCCTGCGTGATGATAGCTTGGTCCAAGGTGCTTCCAAGAAAGAGGAGGAGAGGAGGGAAGGGATTTGACATTGATTTGGGAGGTGGAATGGACATGGCATCAATGTGGGGGTAAGAGGGAGGGAAATGTCAAGAAGGATGACCAGCCTTACGGCTTTATTAGCTGGGTGGATGCCAGTACTATAGCTTGCGTTTCTGTGGGCACCTGCTCATCTAACACACTTAACACAAAGTCAGTGGCATCACAGACAACCAGGTGCAGCCTAAAGGATGTGCCTTCCCTCACACATAATGCAGTAACTTAATGCAGACACTTTAAATGCCTTTCCATTGCTGGAATTTTGTGCATGTATGCATTTCTTACAACTTTGAATTATTCAATTTATGCTCAAAATAGAGCGTTATGTTTATACTCTATATAGTTTTGTTTTGATGTGATAATTTCATGATGTTTCATCTTGGTGGGGTCCATAAGGCTGTTTTCTAAAAATTCATAAAATATCGAGGACTCAGGCAATTTGATTATCTTAGAAGGTGAATCCTCATGGAAAATATGTAACACTTTCTTATTTTTCATCTCATTGATTTTATGTCTTGCTGTTAGCAGAGTTGACACAATGGAAATATCAGTTTTGCTGTCTAGCATGATTTGTTATTGATCTTGACTCTAGTCTCTCCTATTCATTTTAAATTTCTTAAACGTTTTCAGCTTTTTAACTAAAAAATAGAAAATAATGAAAAATTATCACTTAAACTCAATTTCCAAATTTATAATAATTCTGTTCTACAGAATTGTTTGCATAGTTACACACAAAAAGCATTTCAAACTATGTTTAAACAAGCTATAACGTGATGCGTTCAGTTAGTTATTCAGAAATGGTTATGCGTAGATGAATGCTGTGCTGTGCAGATTCCCTGGCCCTCCCTGGCTTTGTACCAGGCAGGTGGGCTGCCAGTGTGCCCTTACCTGCCTGGATATCAACACGCTTCCCCTTAAAACAAGATCAATGCAGGATTGCATTTTTCCATTGCTGAGTTATGGATAACAAGTAAAAACGTATATATAGGGGTGGAGAGAAGGCAATTTTTAAAAGTCTTTTTAAAAAGGCTTAAACTAGGCCAGGTGCGGTGGTTCACACCTGTAATCCCAGCACTTTGGGAGGCTGAGGTGGGCGGATCACAAGTTCAGGAGACCAGCCTGGCTAATGTGGTGAAACCCCGTCTCTACTAAAAATACAAACATTAGCCAGGCATGGTGGCATGCATCTGTAGTCCCAGCTACTTGGGAGGCTGAGGCAGGAGAATCACTTGAACCTGGGAGGCAGAGCTTGCAGTGAGCTGAGATCGCACCACTGCACTCCAGCCTGGGCGACAGACCGAGACTCCATCTCAAACAAAACAAAGCAAAGGCTTAAACTCATAGCCCAGGTAATTGCAGTGGTGGTTGATAGTGTGTAGAAAAGCCTACAGATAATGCCTTTAAGAGAACGTGCTCTTTTCTGTGGTTTTCTAAACAGTTAAAAAATGTTTGTTTGTTTGTTTGTTTGTTTGCAAAATTAAATTGGAAGAGAATGTTTGCAGAACCACGGAAGCACATCTTTGGGGCACAGGTGTTCCAGGAACATGGTTCAAAATCCACAGGAACAAACACTGCCTGGGAATCATGACACTGATAACTTAGAAGTGCACCAGGAGGGAGTTAGATGCCACTTGGCAGGTTCTGCCTCATGTCCCCTTCCAGCTATCTCCTTCCTCCCCAATGGTTTTAGAAATACAGCCAAATAATGTTTGCAATTTCTGTGCAATATTGAGAGGGCAACAATAACAAAAAATTGGGAGCAGGGAGCCCAGACTTCCCCACTCTAACTCTGTGGCCCTTGGGCAAATAAGCTAATACAGCTCAGTGTTCTTGTCTCTTAACATCCGTCCCATGAGGCGGTTCTGAGCAATGCACACGTAATTCATGCAGCAGGTCTGCACGCTGCCTGATCTATATTAGGCATTCACTGTACGGCAGGCATATTCATGAATTAATCAGCAAAAGCTTTTATCCACTCTTCAAGCATCTCAGCCATCAGAGGCAATAAAAGAAATGGATGCAGAGCCCTTGACAGTGAGCAGCAAGAAGGGGGCGGACAGGATTGCCGTCCTCCTCCCCGAAACTTTGCTGGGCTCAGGCAGTGGCTTCTGTCTAAAGAACCCCGTATTTCAAGAGATCACATGTCTTTCAGTCTGGGATTTCATTCATGGACTGTTAGTTTCTTTGTGTGGTACAGGGCTGCTGTTCTCAGTGGTCAATGGTCATGGGAGTTGACTGCTGGTGCTGGACCTTAGGCACGCCATTTGTAACTGGGAGAAACACCCAGTCTCTCTGTGTGCAAACCACTCTGGACCACAGGGATATGAAACTCATGTCCAATATTTGGCACTATTCTGAAAGAAGAGACATGGCTCAGGGGCCGTGACAGGAGATCCAGGCTGGCCTCCTCACTCCGGAGATGCACACACAAACCTCTCAGCAGGACGATGACAAAGCCTAAAACCAAACCATGGATAGGTGTGACTAAACCCCAGAATTACCCAGTTTTAAATTGTGATGAATTAAATCACAATTGTGATTTGCTTTGTGGCTTCTCACCCTTAATTTTAAAACATAAGCTTGTTCCAGTGATACTTAATCAACTGGCACTTTAAAACCTTGTGTCTCTAAATCCTAATCTAGTATTTAAGAACTATAAACAACACTTTCAAATCTGTGTGTGTGTGTGTGTGTGTGTGTGTCTATATTTGGGGAGGATTCCCCCCACTTTGTAAAAATGAGTGGTTTAATTTCACCCAATGTAAAAAAAAAAGAAAGAAAGAAGAAATCCATGAATCTTGAGCTTGCTCTCACACCTTCACCAGTGCCATCAGCGGCAGGGCCCTTCCCTTCCTAGGTATTTAACGTTTGTGGAAGATGCTAAAATGCTCTCCCGTATATGTGAAATAGGTAAAACAGACATCATTGTCTAAATTTTTCCAGTCAATAAACAGAAGTTACATGCCAGAGGCCACACGGTCAATACATGTCTGAGCGGGTCTAGTGCTTGGGTGGATGGACCGGTGGTCCTGCCCTGTCCATGGGGTGGGGGATGTAAACTCTTGTTAACTTGTTGGCATGAGTGATGGTATGCATGTATACATAACCCTAACTCCAGGAAGAAAAAAAGTCCCAAGGGAACCACACCAAAGGGTGGGGACCAGGAACAAAGAAATAAAAGAAATTCTGCAAGGAGAACTCATAGACTGCTTTGATTAATTGCCACCCACACACCAAGGTGTGCTGCCGTTTACTTAGACCTCTGCCAGGGAGGAGGGCTCCGGATTCCTGAGGATTGCTCCATCGCTGGGCGAGCCGAAAGCCATTATCAGTGATGTCTGAGGCACAGCCACCAGCCAGCCATCCACTTTGCCGACTTGGAGCCAGGCAGATAGATGTGCGCACACCGGGAGGGCTGCCCTGCACTCTCTCCTCATCCACACAGCTGTGCTCTCAGGCCCCCTCAGGCCTCTGTGCAACCTCGCAGCTCTGCGTGGCATCTGTTCTGCTCATAGCTTCATCTTGCATGTGTCAAGGCTTAGGGTCACTTTGTCAGTTGTGTGGAGGGGGCAGTGATAAGAAGAACAGGACAAATAAGAGAAGAAAAGAGAGATGGCTTGGAATTCACCAGGAAAGAGAAGACTTTGATTTGCTGCAAACCCACCTTGGAGAAGACGCTCCCAGCCCCCACTGGGAAGTAATCAGGGAAGGGTGCAGAACTTTCTCTTTCCAACCTCTCTGCTTCTGTGGTTTTCACTAAACTTCTGAGTTCCAGGAAGGAACAGATTGAAAGCCTCAGGGCAGCCCTGTACAACCCTGAAGAGGGCCTGGCTCAGGCATCCAGGCACCAGAGAGGTTGGTTCAGTGCATACTTACTCATGCCCGCAGCTTTGGCTTGTTGACTGTGAAGTTGCTAGTCTTGTAAGTATCTTGCCAAGCTGAGCAGGAACCTTCTTTCTCTCCCTTTCCCTTTGCTCAGCCACATAGGAATTGTCAGGTACAGCATCTCCTCCCAGCCCAGGTCCTGCCTTGGTTTGCTCACAAGGCCCAGGGACAGGAGGGGCCCCTGTAAAATGCCTTCCTCTCTGCTCCACTGCAAACACCACACACTTCACTGGCCTAAAGTCTCATGCCTGGACCTCCACCTCTCTTCCCCATTCACTGGCCTGAAGTCTCATGCCTGGACCTCCACCTCTCTTCCCCATGAAGTGATTGGGTTGCTTTCTTCCTATAGTCCCCACTTTTTTAAAATAATTTTTTTGAATTATGGTAAAAAGACATAACATAACATTTGCCTCCACAACCGTTTTCAAGTTCCGTGTGTTAAGCACATTCATGTTGCTGTACAACAGATCTGTGGTCTCTCCTCTAACACACGAGCACCAGGACAGACGGCATAGCTGTCCTCGGCGTGGTAGGTGGGTGAGTATTCAGCAGCTAGGGGATGACCTCCTTTCCATAGCAGGCTAGACAGGGCAGGGGCAGCTGGGAACAGAGGAGTGCTGGGACAGACAGGGCTCAGCTAGGGAGGAAAACAGACAGCGGGGCAGAGAGGTCATGCCCACCTCTGGGAGCCGCCCCATCCTGGTGCCCCATTGTTCCTCAACCAAAGACAACGGGGAGGGGTGTGTGTCGGGGGGGGGGGCGCTTAGAGGAAAATGCAAGGGCTGCCGGAAGCAGTACTTCTCTCACCAATTACGGATGGCTAGTGCCCAAAACACACTGGCAAAGTCCACTGGGTAAAGAATTTGGTTAAACAAAGATAAACTGAAAACCAATGTTTTAAAAAAATCCTTAGCCTTTTGATTCTTCACTTACATATTTGTCAGAATAAGGTATATCATAAAATTCATTGGTAGGTCTTAGGAATAAAATTCTCTAATTAAAACAGTCCAGGGTATAAAGCCATCACTATAGAGTTCTGTACCAAACACAGGTTTGTCTTTTTAATACCCAAAAACAGTTCTTCCATAATGCACTCTAGGCACTGTGGCTGGGAGAAACTGCTAGAACCCCAGAAGCACTTCTTGCCTTTTAAAAAAATGTGGTAAAATACACACAACGTACACTTTACCATCTTAACCATTTCTAAGCGTACAGTGTAGCGGCGTCAAGTACATTCATATTGCTGTGCGGCCGTCACCATATCCATCTCCAGAACTCTTTTCATCTTCTCAAACTGAAACTGTGTCCATTAAACACCAGTTCCCCTCTCCCAATCCCTGGCAGCCGCCATTCTATTTCCTGCCTTTATGAATTTGACCATTCTAGGTGCCTTGTAAACGTGGAATCATGCAATATTTGTCCTTTTGTGACTGGCTTATTTCAC
Organism: Homo sapiens; assembly: GCF_000001405.40. Taxonomy (NCBI): domain Eukaryota; kingdom Metazoa; phylum Chordata; class Mammalia; order Primates; family Hominidae; genus Homo; species Homo sapiens. Next base: position 1,041,427 of record NC_000006.12, read on the forward strand.
TGAGCATAGCGTCCTCCAGGATCATCCACGTTGCAGCAATGGACAGAATGTCCTTCCTTTTTAAGATGGAATCATATTCCATTGCATCTGTATACCCCATTTTGTTTATCCAGTTATCTGTGGATGGACACCTGGGTTGCTTCCACCTTTTGGCTATTGTGAGTAATGCTGCTGTGAACCCGGGGTGCACGTGTCTTCTTTGTAAATTCCCTTGCCATTGGGCAGACAATGAGCCATCTCACTACATGATGCCTGCAGCTCCTGCCAGGGCCCTTGGAGTCAAGGTTAGGCTTGCATTGTTATTCCCTTTTACCATGACTCTCATCCCTGTGGTGTGTAATCCTCAGTAAATATGGCTTTGATTATTTCTCCCACCTTTTCAGAAGTTAGGATGGGAGCTTTCTTAAGAGCTGCAACTTCTGATCCTGTCACTCTTTTAAGAGTTGCATCAAAGTTCCAGGAATTCATCCGTCTCTTCTAGGTTTTCTAGTTTATGTGTGTGAAGGCATTCTTGGTAGCCTTGAATGATCTTTTGTATTTCAGTGGCGTCAGTTGTAATATCTCCTGTTGCATTTCTTAGTGAGGTTATTTGGATTTTCTGTCTTCTTGGTTCATCTTGCTAATGGTCTATCAGTTTCATTTATCTTTCTGAAGAGCCAGCTTTTTGTTTCATTTATCTTTTTTGTTGTTTTTTTTTTTGTTTGTTTGTTTATTTCAATTTCATGTAGTTCTGCTCTGATCTTGGTTATTTCCTTTCTTCTGCTGGGTTTGGTTTGTTCTTGTTTCTCTAGTTCCTTGAGGTGTGACCTTAGATTGTCCATTTGTGCTCTTCCAGACTTTTTGATGTAGGCATTTAAGGCTATGAACTTTCCTCTAAGCACCACCTTTGCTGAATCCCAGAGGTTTTGATAGGTTTATGACTCATAACAGGGATGAAAATCTTCACTGAAAATTAGTGAAAGTGGAGTGTAAAATGAAAAAAAAATATAGGAAGAGCTTGAGTCTGGGTTAAGACTATAATGCTTTCTTGGGTCAGCAAGCCTAAATGTGGCTCTGAAAGCCTAAATAATCAAAGAATTGGGCAAACAAATGTAGGAAGGAAGGCTGATACTGGGAAGTTATCAACTGCATACGTGCACTGAACAATACAGGGACTCACAACCTACCCAAGAAAACCTAACCGGATATTTATCCATTTTTCTAAAAGGATATTTAGTTGTTTTTTTAAAAAACATGAAATATGCATCAACATATAAATAAGCCATGATAATTTCCGAGTTGGTGTAGCTTTTCCCTGTGGTACTAGAGAAAAGCTTTCTTCAGCCAGGTACGTGCTGGCTCAATAGTGCAGCAGGTCATTGTTGAGTCCTGGCAGTGAATGGCTGGACTTTGATGTCAGGGGTCAGGGTTTAAAATTGCACTCTGCTTCCTGGGTAGACTGCTTACTCCGAGACACCTGGATCTGCTTATTTTATTGTAAAATGGGGAGAATCACTTTTTAAACACCCCACGAGAATATCATGAGAGTTGAATAACAGGAGTGGTGCTCGAGGGGCTGGGGCATGGCCGGCGCATGGCTGGCGCTGGATGCTTGCTCACCTCTCTCCCTTCCATGCCTGAGAGATCCCAGGCCTCACAGTTCAGGCAATGGTGCTTTCAGATGCTCATCCCTGTGTTGTCATCTTCCCAAAAGGGTGACTTTCTCTGAGCCAAACTAGTCCAGCTGCTAAGTAAGAAAAGCATCTCTTTTTGATAGTACTTAGATGTCGGGATGATTCAGGAAGAGGGTGATCTGGCCCAGCCACAGGACAGGGTACCCTGATAAGCGACCCTGAGTTCCTCACCCTTGCTGAGATGCTGGAGGACCCAGGTCAGTCGGGTGCCAGGTTGCTGCTGTGTGGGAAGCCTCCTGCCTCAGAGACGCCTTTGATTTTGCGTCGGTCTTGCTCATTGTGGGCAGGTCAGCATGTTGAGGCCAACTGCACTAAGGGAAATGCCATGTGGTGATTAGATTTTTCCTCTGGGTTCTTCAGCATTTGGTCTTTCACCAAAAACACATGTCCATGTGGCATGTTCCTGTCCTGGCTGTCCTGCGATTCTACTGCTGCACTCGGCACTCTCCCTCGTCCTCCCTGGAGCACTCTGTACAGCGTGTGCAGTGAGGGAAGTGATGTACGCTGTTTGGAAATAGTCTGCTCAAGTCACTTCTCTTCCTTTCTTTGTGTAATTATCGGGAGACATGCCGTGTTTACCAGTGGTAAGCCAAGAGGCATGTGCCTTACTTTGGAAGGAGTATTGAGGGAAATGTGGAATGTGGTGGAAATTAAGACATCAAACCCAGGGACAGGAATCCGGAAACCTAAACCCTAAACTCCTCTCTTACACAGAACTTCTGGCTAAACAGCAAGTAGCAACTCTGAGGATGTCATGCTCTGAGGATGGTAGTGTCCATTTCTAATATCATCTGAATCAAATGTAAATAAAATCTTCTTGAATCACTTTGAGTACTACTGAGTGGCAGACATAGAGAATGCAGCGGCTGGACCAGGCAAAGTTCCCTTCCCTCGTCTGAAATCCATCTGGGAAGATTGACATTGAGCAACAGATTCTAAGTGTGGTCAGGGCTGCAACACATCAAACCAAGGTATTGCAGGAACGTAGTTTAAGACTCACAGGTTCAAAGGAGACTTCAGTTGGCTAGGCTCACAGAGGATCACGAGAAAATGGAGTCAGGCTGTTGCTCTGAACAGGTCTTGCCAAAATAGCGAGTGCCCATCGGAGACAACTTGTTTGAACCCCAGCACTGCCTTGATTGGGAGCTCAGTTGAATAAACCTCCTGAGCAGGTGCAGCCCTGGGTGCTGAGCCAGAGCAGGGCAGGGTGGTCTCCAGTATCACTTCTCTAGGGAGCACATCCTGTGGATTTCCACCCCGAGGTTCCCACAACTGGTGAGAGCCCAAAGTCTCCTGTGAGCAGGGCAGTGACCTGCAACTGGAACCACCCTGGTCCATGGAACACTCAGCTTCCTCTTCAATAGGTGGGTTCACAGGGGAGAGGAGCTATCAGGTGCACCATGAGCATATTTTTCAGAACAATTGCTTTTATCAGCTTGGCTTTCTTGTCCCAGAATGCAGTCCTTGGCAGGAAGTCACTGGTCTATTGACTTTACTAGTAGGATAAACAAACCTCCTTTGACACACAGAATGGCAGAGACTGTAATTTCCTTCCCGCCACATGGAGGCAAGGCAGACGAAGTTGGGGGAAGCAATGGGTTGGCTTTAACATGGATTAAGAGCAAAAATCCTGGTTAAATATCAGGCAAAATGCTCCCTGTGTAGGCAAGAAGGGGTGAAAGGCATCACTGGGAAGCCTCAAATCAGGAGGGCAAGGGAAGACAGTGCAGGAAGAAGAAAGGGTGGATCCACTTTCTAGCTTCCAGGAGACATTTACTTTGCACACCGTGAAGTCTAAATGGGCTATTTTTGTTACAGGTCTGCACTCCTAATCTATTCTGTTTTACTTGGTGAAATGATTGCAAGTGAAGTTGGAAGACAAAGGAGAAGCGTGTCCGTAACTATGTAATGGGTACATCGAAAAGCAAGACTGAGGGGTGAAATCATGAAAGCAATGTTTACTTTTCTTCTACTACCCTTTGAAACCTTCTCAAAGAGGTTTAGAGGTATCCCTCCTTTGCTCCTGGATGAAAAATCAGGCCATCTCCAAGACTGTCTGGTCACTGTTTTGTAATAGAAAATACTACCAACACTTTAGGATTCAAAAGCAAAATAAATTAGGAAACCATAATGCTCAGTCCACATGATACACAACTCCAGGTTGACATCGCATGACATCTTCAACCCCTTGCCTCTGCCGACCTATAGTGGCAGCAGCATAGGGGCTGGAGGAAAATGGGTTTTATTCTTCTCTATTTCTCTGTTTTGCTTGCCAGGTTTCTGACCTGGACATGGTCAAGGGTGGTGAAGAGGGAGGAGATGTAAGGAAGGGGTGAGAAACATTTTATCTGATTGCTGCTGCCATAAAATGGTGCCATGGACCTGGCAACTGTTTATAGCTCATTCTTCTGTGAGATTTTTATGGGTTTACTGGGGTAAAAGAGGTCACTGAAAAATTTGCTTATGTTCCTCAAAATGAAGATGATATGTTTTTCTTCTGAATAATTACAAGAAAACACTCAATAACTAGCATTTTTTAAACCTGCTGGAAAAACTGATGACATATCCGCAGAGAGCAAAGAATGTGTCATTCCACGTGTAGTCTTACAATGGAGACAGATCAGGCAGGGTTCATTTTCTGTCTCATTTTGTGCATGTGACTTACCGATGTCCCTGTTCCTCCCTTTGCTGAGCCTGAACGTCCAATCCTCTGAAGCCTGTTCCATGGAGACAGTGTGCTCCCAGTGCTGTCTGCAGGGGCACTGAGCAAGGAAGAGAACCCCTATTCCTACTAAAGAGAGGTGTTGCTGGCATTGAACCTTGGAACTCTGATCACTTTTTTTTTTTAAGTGACAGGGTCTCGCTCTGTCGCCCAGGCTGGATTAAAGTGCTGTGATCACAGCTCACTGCAGCCGTGAAGACCTAGGCTCAAGGGATCAGCCCTCCTCAGGCTCCAGAGTGCCTGGGGCTACACACCCAGCTAATTTTTAAAAAAGTTTTGTAGAGACAGGATCTTTGTATGTTGCCCAGGCTAGACCACATTTTTCTGTAGAAATAATGAGTCGCAGAATTTAGGAAATGGGAGAATATTACTGCCCCACTGGATTTGGGGAATCTCGGCTCTTAACAGAAACTGGGCTTAATCATTCAAAATGAAGTTGGTTTCTTTCACACCTGGGTTTGCAGACTGAGCCACCTGGTGCGCCCCACTCCCGCTGCATCCTTCTGCCTGCATGGCAGACCCACGTGCAACTCAAACAATGTTTATGATTTTCTAATATCCCTCCTTTGTAGCTAGCACCACATCTGCACAGAATTGAAGGAATGTTAAAGGATCAAAGGAATATAAACTAGACGGTAGAACACTGACATGCTCTGTTTTCCAGGTTTTTCCTACTGGTCCGGGGGTAATGCAATGTCTGAGGCAGACCATAATTTCACTCGTATGCAGGAGATTAAAAAAAAAAAAATGAACTCAGCCTGGTGCAGTGGCTCACGCCTATAATCCCAGCACTTTGGGAGGCCAAGGTGGGCAGATCACGAAGTCAAGAGATTGAGACCATCCTGGCCAACATGGTGAAACCCCGTCTCTACTAAAAATACAAAAATTATCTGGGCGTGGTGCTGCAGCCCTGTAGTCCCGGGTACTCGGGAGGCTGAGACAGGAGAATCACTTGAACCAGGAGGCGGAGGTTGCATTGAGCCAAGATCGTGCCACTGTACTCCAGCCTGGCTACAGAGCAAGACTCTGTCTCAACAACAACAACAAAAAAAAAAAAAAAAAAAAAAAGAAAGAAAGAAAAAAATGAACTAACGTAACTAAAGAGTAGAATAGAGCCTGGGAGAGGTGCTGATGGGGAGAAGAAAGGATGGGGAGAGGTTGGTTATGGGATACGAAATTACAGCTAGTGGTTCATGCCTATAATCCCAACACTTTGAGAGGCCAAGGCGGGCGGATCTCCTGAGGTCAGGAGCTCAAGAGCAGCCTGGCCAACACGGAGAAACTCCATCTCTACTACAAAAATTAGCCAGACGTGGTGGCGCATACCTGTAATCCCAGCTACTTGGGAGGCTGAGGCAGGAGAATCACTTGAACCCGGGAGGCAGAGGTTGCAGTGAGCCAAGATCGTACCATTGCACTCCAGCCTGGGTGACAGAGCAAGACTCTGTCTCAAAAAAAAAAAAAAAAAATTACAGCTAGATAAGAGGCATGAGTTCTGGACTTCTGCAGCACCACAGAATGAATATGGTTAATAATAATTTATTGTATATTTTCAAAGAAGTAGAAAAGAAGATTTTGAATGTTCACAACACAAAGAAATAATAAAGGTTTGAGCTGGTGGATTTGTTACCCTGATTTGATCATTATACATTGAGTACACAAATATCACTATGTATCCCATACATATGTATAATTATCATGTGTCAACTAAAAATAAAAAGCATAAAAAACCCAAAGATATTTGGCTACCAAGTTCTTGGTAGACGTGGAGCCTCAAGATCAGTTCTGGGTGGATTGTGAGTATCTTCTAGACATCCCTCAAGCCATTCCAATTTCTTTTCGACTTTCAGCATTTCCTCTTGTCAGAGTTTGTATTCAGCTTATGAAGCAACCATTTTAACTATTTTTCTAGAATCTCAGTAGTTGCCTTCCTGAGCAAGTCATTACCACGAGGTTTTTATTCCTGCTTTCCATGGCTAATCACACTCGAGGGGCCACATACAACCCTCCAGGAAACTGACCACAGGTCACTTCTTCATTACACGAATACTTTAAGAGACGTCTTAATTCTTCTTCCAGCTTCTTCAGCCTTTTCCCCACCCACCCCGACCTCCACAGGAAAGAAATAAGACCAAGGAAAGCAGCAGCACGCCCTCCCTCTGCCACTGTCACTTCACAGCTCCTTCCCAGTAGAGCCCACTCTAAGCCACGTCCGTGGCCTCTGCCCGCTTTCTGCTCAGGAGTTTGGGGCTGGAGGCAGACTTCGCATTTCCACGTTGCTGCTGTCATGCCCCAAAATAGTAACTCCCCTCCCACCGTCCTTCAAACACACACGCTTTTCCCTTTGCTTGCTTGACTTGCACAAAAGAAAGAAAACATTCTCACATCCTGGACTTCTGCCAGCATTCAAAAAGAATTAAACTTCCCTCATTTTCAAAGAGACTCCTTCTCCAAGGCTTCTAAGCTCAGATGTTCAACTCCAGGGGGCTGCTGAAGCTTTGCTTGACCTTTCCTTGAGACCTACCTACAACACAACCAGCGACCTTGTGGGCAGAGGGACAAGGGTTTTGTTATCTGTTTCCTGTTGTCTCGGCTGCTCAGGCTGATGGGGACTGGGAGTCTATGGCGGGGCAGAGGTTCCTGCTGAGGACAGAAGTGAGCTCATGTCCATCGGCCTTCCGGAAGAACAGGCTCAGCGCCTGTCCACTTTCAGCCTCTTTGCTATGTTCTGTCAAATGTGTTTTGAAATCTGATGGGAATTTTTCAGGTTTCTTCTCCCGAATTTTCTCACCCAGTGGTCTCAAGCCTGTTGACAGTAGTAAGCACCATTATGTCTGCGGTGGGAGGAGTTGTTTCCTACCCGAGGTAGATGACTGGGAAAACAACACAGTGTAGCAGAAAGAACCAGGTTTTCATCATCAGACCAGCTCGGATCAGTGTAACAAACCTGCCACTCATTCGCAGTTTCTTGGACAAGAAACTGGCCTTTCTGAACATTAATTTCTCTGACTTTAAAATTAAAAACACCTATTTCTGCCTTACATGTTTTGTTTCTTAATTTAAAAATCATCCATGCAAAATTACTTGGGCAGTGCTTGCCACAGTGTGGGTCATCAACACCTTGTTGTGGGAAGTATGTTTTCCATGCTCTTTGACACTTTGCATGAGCTAGATCACAATAGGAACTTAGGACAGCCACAGAATGATAGATAAGGATTAATCTTTTATCTTTTAGAGATAAAAGCTAAGTAGACATTGAGTTTTTTTAAAATAAAACTGATGGACTGTTAACGAAAATGAATGTTCACTTCACCTGTTGTGCATGAAAGCACCCCATTTTTGCAATGGATACTTAGCAGTTGAGAAGATTGAAAACATTTAGGCCTCAGAGTCAAGGAGTAAGGTATGATTCAAACTTGCTAAAAATAAAATGTGGAAAATTTGAATACAAATTCCAGCATTTCAAGCCCCGAATGCTCAGTAATATGAATATGAAAAAATAAGTTTTACCTCTGATTTCCATCTTCAAGCATATGTACAATTTCATTTGAAAGATGTATTCAATCTATTTATATCTGCTCTGTCTTAGGACCTAGGGATTCAGCAGTGAACACAGCAAGCAATTTTTTTACATTCATGGAGCTTATCTTCTGGTAAAGTTTCATCTTGGACATTTAAAATTAATACCAATTCCTGCACTTATTTCTGAGAAATTTTAATTCAATTGTTGTATAGGTTGGGGCCAAGACTTGATTGTTTTCCAAAGTTCTTCAAATGACTGTTACCTGCAGCCAAGATTGCATGGCTGGTAAAGGCCCTCGCAGATCAGCTGAGGATGCTGGGTTTTATTCCAGTGAGATGACAAGACGTGGGGGCTCTTGAGCAAAGGAGCACTGTGATCTGATGAGCATCCCAACTGACGTGTGCAGACAAGAATAATGCTGATGGGAGGACAGCAGGGGAAGGGACCAGTTAAATGAGACGAGCTCCTTAAAGAAAACTCTAACATACAGCTACAGAAATTGATGAAATACTAAATTATATGCCCAGTGGCCCAAAAGTGTGATGTAAAATTTGAAAAGGGAAAAAAAGTTCAGGGTGTGATAAAGTTGTCAGCGAAGGATTTCTGGAGGATATGGGTCTTTAGGCTGGAGTTTGAGAAATAGGTGAGATTTCTCTAATCCACAGAAAGGGTTTCCCTAATACCCACATGGCACGTTTCAGCAAGAGAAGCAGCATGAATGGTCACGATGCATGAACACGGCCTGACTTGTTCCAAGGCCAGATAAAGAACTGGTCCAGCAAGTCTTAGGTGACAGTGACAAATGAGACAGTGGGCACAGAGAGGGGACAAAGTATGGAGGAACTGGGAAAAGACTTCTGGGTAAGAGTGTATGAGTGGAGAAAACTCAAACTGTGTCTCTACCACTGCACGCTCTGACACCAGATGTGTGAGGACAACCTGATTGTCCTCCAATTCAATTATAACACTCTCCACCTGGAGACAGGGTCAGATCCCATAGTGGAGGGCTCAGTCTCCAAGACTGTTCACCCTTCAGACACCAGTGACAAGTCTAGGTCTGGGGAAATTTTGACTGAACGGCTTCAAGTTGGGGTTCCTACAACTCCCTCTTTGGGTTTGATTGGTTTACCTCAGTGGCTCACAGAACTCAGGAAAACATGTGCATTTACTGGTTTATCATGAAGCATATTACAAAGTATAAAGATTAAGAGGTGCATAGAGCAAGGTAGGGGGGAAGGGACGCAGAGCTTCCTTGCCATCTCTAGGCATGCCTCCCTTGAGGAACCTCCCCCCGTTCAGCTACCTGGAAGCTCCCCAAACCCAGTCCTTTTGGGTTTTCATGGAGGCTTTATTATGTAGGTAGGATTAATTAGACCATTGGCCATTGGCAATCAACTCAATCTTCAGCCACTCTCTCCTCCTCAGAGGCTGCAGGATGGACTGAAAGTCCCAACCCTCTAATCCTGGTTTGGTCTTTTCAGTGTCCAGCCCCATCCTGTCCAGGAGCTGCCTAGGAGCTGTCAGCCATCAGTCAACTCATTCACATGAAAAGACACTACTTTGGACATTCCAGGATATTTAGAGTTGTATGCCAAGAAGTGGGTTGAAGACCAAATACATATTCATGGAATGACACGATGAAAGAGTGGTTTTAGCTCTCTGTAAAACCATGTAGGATGGATACTGAGAGAGGATGACTGAAAGCAGGGATCCAGAGAGGAGACTGTGGAAGCCATCTCGGTGTAGGTGGTGAAGACTCAGACGCACAAGTGGACATGTGCACGGAGTGGAAGGAGCAGACCCGCTGGCCATTCTAAAGGAAAACACAGTCGAGCTCCATACGGGAATAAATATGAGTAATGAGAGAGAAGAGGGAATCCAAGATCTACAAGGCTTGGCCTTTAGAAGGACTGGCATGAAGAGGAGATACTTTGTTTGTTTCAATATTCATGGTGGGTCTTTTATTCTCCAGGTTCTTGTCTCTGTTTTCTGTTGTTTATAACAGAATACCCACAACTGGGTGCTTTATTTTAAAAAGGCATTTATTTCTTATAGTTATGAAGGCTAATAAGTCCAAGGTCGAGAGGCTGTATATGGGGCTCCAGAGCCTTCTTGCTGGTGGGGCCTCTCTGCAGAGTCCTGGGGCAATGCAGAGCATCACATGGTGAGGGGGCTGAGCATGCTAGCCAGATCTTCCTCTTCTTATAAAGCTGCCAGTCCCACTCCGAGGATAACCCATTAATCTATTAATCCAGTCATCCATGAATGGATTAATTCATTCATCAGGGAAGAGCCTTCCTGAAAGATCTCAACTCTCAATATTGCCATGTTGGGGATTAAATTTTAACACGAGTTTTGAAGGGGACAGACATTCAAACCATAGCAGTTCTTATTGGCTGACATTAACTGTAACAACTTCCATTGGCTTTGCTGCTGGATTCATAATGCTTGCCCTTGAAAATACCCAGTGATTTTAGCCTGTCCAAGAGGGCCTCATCAATAGCCATGAAGGGCCCCTAGTGCTCTTCTAACCCATTTTCTTCTTACTGAGGTCTGCATTCGTCTGTTGGATCTGCCATAACGAAATCCACAAATGAGGGGGCTAAAACAACAGTCATTCATTTCTGCACAGTTCTGAAGGCTGGAAGTTCCAGAGCAAGATGTGGGCAGGATAGTTGTCTCCTGAGGCCTCTCTCCTTGGCTTGTCAATGGCTGTCTTCTCCCTGTGTCTTCACATGGTCACCCCTCAGTCTGTGTGTTGTCTTAGTCCTAATCTCTTTCTATGAGGCCATCAGCCATCACATTAGGGCCCACCCCTATGACCTCATTTTACCTTAATTACCTCATTAAGACCCTATCTCCAAGACAGCACATTCTGAGGTCCTGGGGGTCAGGACTCAATGTATGAATTTTAAGGAGAACAGAATTCAGCCCACAACAAGGTCCCTGCAGGAAGAGCTTTTGAGGGTGACCCCTTACCAAGATCTATCCTCAAGGACGACATCAATATGTGAGCCAGTAGTGTCTTCTCCCAGCGTTCCTGCAGCTGCCAGCCTTGAAGATGCAAAAGCACCCTGTGTGCTCTTTGGTCCTTCTTTGCCCGAGACACCCTGTACTCCCCACACATCCTTGGTCACTGGGTTCTGGATCTCACCACCTCTTCATGAAGATAGTACCTCTAGCTCCTCTTTCATGAGGCTCAGAGATGAGTCCCCAAGGCTTGGCTGGTGGTAGGTTTCTGTGACCTGTCCACCTGAGGGTGTATTCAGAACCACTTCTCCCTTCCTGACACTAGTTCATCTCACTGGAAAATGAGTTCATTCCCAAAAGGATCCATAGCCCCCCATCCTTCTGATGCACTTGGCATTGCCCAGTAAGCTGTGACTCCTAAACAGTGGGCTGTGTGGAATGATTTGTGCTTCTATGTTTTGCTCTTAAAAGACAACTTTCACAGAAGGCTTTTTATAGGTATGTTTTCTGTAGGCTTTTTATGGTATCTTTCTGAGATACTTTTGCTGTTGGTACTTCATAGCCTCTGTCATAAACTAGGATGGAGGCCGGGTGCGGTGGCTGATACCTGTAATCCCAGCACTTTGGGAGGCCGAGGTGGGTGGATCATGAGGTCAGGAGATCGAGACCATCCTGGCTAACATGGTGAAACCCCATCTCTACTAAAAATACAAAAAATTAGCCGGGCATGGTGGTGGGCGCCTGTAGTCCCAGCTACTTGGGAGGCTGAGGCAGGTGAATGGCGTGAACCCAGGAGGCGGAGCTTGCAGTGAGCCGAGATCGTGCCATTGCACTCCAGCCTGGGTGACAGAGTGAGACTCTGTCTGAAAAAAAAAAAAAAAAAAAAAAAAAACTAGGATGGAATTTCATGAAAGCTTTGAAAGAGGAGGGAGAAAAAGAGTGAGCAACCAAGTGACTACTTACTCTATGAGGACAGGGGCAGTGTCTGTCCTTTTCACCCATGTGTACTCAGTGCTTATCCAGTAATTGACACATAGGAAAACATCAATAACTGTGGATTGTTGAAGGCATATGTGGCAATGGTAACTAAGCACTTGAACAAGACAGAGATCCAATAACTAATTATCATTTGGAGCTTAAATCATATTCTCTGGGTATTTTTTTGAGCAAAGACATACTGGAAGTCTTAGTCCTCCACAACGGACCCCAATTTAGGTCCGAAAACTCACATAGGCATAACCATAGCCATGAACATAAACACAACCACGGACACAGACACAGACATAAACACAACCATAGCCATAACTACAGATGTACATGTAGACATAAACATAGTCATCAATGTAGGTATCAACAGCAACACAGAAGTAGACATAGACCTAGACATAGCCATAGCCACAGCCATAGACACGGCCATCAACACAGACGCAGACATCAACAGCAACGTAGACATAGACATAGTCATTAATGTAGGTATCAACAGCAACATAGACGTAGACATAGACCTAGACATGGCCATAGCCACAGCCATAGACATAGCCATCAACACAGACACAGACATCAACAGTGACGTAGACATAGCCATAGACATAGCCTAGCCACATCCATATATATAGCCATCAATACAGACGCAGACATCAATCGTGACATAGACATAGCCATAGACACAGCCATAACCAGAGACACAGACATCAACAGCAACATAGACATAGACATAGCATAGCCGTCAACATAGACATAACCATCAACATTGCCATCAACATTGACACAGACATAGCCATCAACACAGACATCAACAGTGACATAGACATAGACAAAACCATAGACATAGCCATTAACATCGACATCTACACTGATATCGACGTAGACAAAACCATAGACATAGACATAAAGGTAGCCATAGCCATAGAGGCAGACATAAATATAGACGTAATCATAGACACAGCAGATGTAGCCGTAGACACAGCCATAACTGCAGCCATACCCACAGACACAGACATGCACATATTCATATCAGTAGTTCTTTGTCTTCTGTGGACACTGCTCAAGCAAAAGAAATTTGGAAACAGGAAATTCTACTCACTAAGAGTGTTTCTGTCCCATTTCTAGCATCTTCTCAGCCACATAGTACAGTGTGTGCACCATGGTTTCATAGTGTTCTGGATGCTGCTGGGGAAGTAGTGACTATCCCCCTTCAGCACACCCATGGCACAGTACACATCCTGGATTCTGCAAGCCATATCTGGCACTGTTGCCACTTCATCAGTTCATATTGTGGGAGGAATTAAGATGTGAGCCACCGCGCCCGGCCAATCATGACACTTTTGACGTGTTAAGTCAGATAATATTTTGTTGTGGGAAGCTGTTCTGTGTATTGTAGGCTACTTAGAAACACCCCTGGTCTCCACCCACCGCTGAGGGCCAGGGACCCCCTTCCCCTTGTGGTGACAATGGAAAGCATCTCCGACTTTGGCAAATGTTCATCACCTCCTCCCTCCCCAGACACCGGTTGACAACCAGTGGCCCAGCACACAGGGAACAGAGTGGGGAATAGATATGGGAAAGGAATTTCTAGAAATCTCCAGGAGCTCACCACTGTGGCAGCAGGGATGAGGAAATACATCAAAAGGTGATCTAAGTGGGAATTAATTTGATCTTGGCTTCCAACAGCTCCCCTTCCCCATCTTCCTGCCTCCTCCACCCCCACCGGCTATGCACATTCTTTTCTCTTTCACTGAACCTGTTCCAGTATCTGTGCAATCCTCCAGATCAAATTCATTTGCCTTTGACAATTGCCCCTTTGATTCCATGTGGAGGGGGAGGGTGGGCTGTCCCGTCCTGCGGTGAGAGGCTCCTTTCGGTTCCCTGTGATCTCCCTAGGTGTATAGATTGCAAAACTCAGGTATAGACAAGGAGCTTAGACAATAGACAGACTCATTAGGGAGCCCTTTGAAGTGAGCAAACAAGGCAGTGGCAGACGCCTCCTCTTCCCCTTTCTCCCTCTCTCTTTCTTCCCGTCCTTCATTCCAGATGCCCATGGTGGGAACTGGCAAAGCAAAGATCGAAAAGGATGGAATGAGGAAAGAAGTGAGTCTTTAGAGGAGATGTGGAAGCTCCCCGTTGCCTCCTCTCCTCACTGGGCAGTGAGCCCAGGAGGCAGCACCCTGCACGGTCACCTGAGACTGGACCTGAGGCTGGGGGAGGCACTTCTGAGGCCAGACCTGGTGTTACTGTGGGGGCTGCAGGGGATGGGTGCTGGGGTGCAGATGACAAGCAGGCTAGATGGACGTAAAGGCATGGCCTGAAACGTGTCGGAGGGAACAACTCTTCTCTACTCCAAACTTCCTTTCCACATGTGGGTGAGAAAAGTCCACTTAAAATCTCCAGCCCCTGCCTTTCCTCTCTATCCTCGGAAATCTGTCCATGCTCCAGGCCACGAGTACCCATCCCAGCGGGGGAATAAGACCTACCTATCCCCTGTGATTCCTGACTTCATGCCACTGCCCTGGAGAATAGCACAGGCTAAAGGTGCATTTGCATACGGAATAAATGCAAGGAGGCTGCTGCTTTGACCTTGCCTTATTCAACACAGAGACTGGAGGCTATCCTAAAAGAGCTAAGGCCAGCATGAGAACAAATGAACCACAGGGCATCTACTGTCAACTGGAGAAGACCCGTGAAAGCAATATTTCTAAAACAGCATGATAGCAGCTTTGAAAATCAAAGCAGGAGGACTTCCTGGGACTTCATGGAAAGAACCATAACATCTAGCAGGTCCCACTTCATGGAAGTCTTTGGCGGGGGGAGTGTCACCTCTGAAGTATCTTCAAGTCTTTGGACTTTGCACTGTGCACAGCAAGTTTTCTTGCTGGAGAGAAACCAAGCCCTTCACTGACACTACTTTCAGTGTTCACAACGCACTCCAGGGGAGGGGCTGTCAATCAGGCTTCGGGGTAAGTGACCTCACTCGGGCCAGTTAGAAAGTCAGTGGCACATCTGGAAGCAGAAGACTCCACAGCCGGCCGGACGAGGTGGCTCAAGCCTGTAATCCCAGCACTTTGGGAGGCCGAGGCAGGCAGATGACGAGGTCAGGAGATTGAGACCATCCTGGCTAACACAGTGAAACCCCGTCTCTACTAAAAATACAAAAAATTAGCCGGGCGTGGTGGCAGATGCCTGTAGTCCCAGCTATTCAGGAGGCTGAGGCAGGAGAATGGCGTGAACCCGGGAGGCGGAGCTTGCTGTGAGCCGTGATCCTGCCACTGCACTCCAGCCTGGGTGACAGAGCGAGACTCCATCTCAGAAAAAAAAAAAAAAAGGCTCCACAGCCCTGGGTGTCCTCATCTGGTGTCTGGGAGACAGTGAGCACCGCCTATCTGGGACACTGAGCCACCGGCAGCCTTGACAGAGCCAGGACATGCGGCCCCACACAGGGCAAACACAAGGAGTCGGTGTGCTGGCCCCTGGCTCCGGCCCCTCCGGGAGCTGCCAGAGACCCTGTGTTAGCTCTGTGCTATCTTCCAGGGGGCACACCAGATTCCACAACAACCCCCATCCTTTAAATAATATGGTCTCTCCTTTTATGAGCAAATTGCAAACTGTTTATCATGAGATTTTTTGAAGTATGACTTTTGTTATAAAAGATTAGAGAGTTTTTGCTGAGAAATAGAAGAAAACAAAAGAAAATAAACTATAGTCCCACACGGTTATGCAAAGATAACACAAAAGAAAATAAACTATAGTCCCACACTGTTATACAAAGATGACTATTGCTAACATTTTGTTTATATTCACCCAGTCTGTTCTTTGCAGGATGTACTTTTTTTGGGAGAGTTGATGTCTCCCTATGTTGTCCAGGCTGGTCTTGAACTCCTGGCCTCAAATGACCCTTCACTTTGGCCTCTCAAAGTACTGGGATTACAGGCCTGGCCAAGATGTACATTTTTAAAGATAAGCTATTTATCACTCTTCATTAATTTTCCCCAAATGCTTTTGCTTTTTGGAAGGTGTCACACATGTGTCACACACGTGATATGCAAGTGTGTCTTACTGCAATGGTTCTCCATGGTTTTCGATGGGCATTGTACTCACCTATGGAGGTTTTGAAAATATGGATGCCTGGGTTCTGACCCCAGAAGCCCTTTTCTTTTTAATTGGTTTGGGTGTGGTCTGAAAATCTGGATATTTAAACTATCTCCAGTTAATTACACTGTGCAACCCGTGTTGAAAATCTGCTCCTGGGTCTTCCTGCTAATGCCCTTTTCTGGCAAGCGCCAGCCTATCTGGGCCAGCGTCAGCCCTCCTGTGTTACACGGAGCTCACCAGAGCACAGCCTTCGCCCCAGTCCCGCTGCTGCTCCCTGCAGCTGTTGCTATCTTGCTTCCACCCAATGCTGTCCCTCAGCGCTCCCCTTCCACATCCCACCCAGTAAGGAACTACTCGCAGCGACCCCATGGCGACGTGATTTCTTTCTGCAGTGCAGACCTACTTGTTGTAGGCTCAAGGGTGGAGTTAGCAATTTAAAGAATTAAAATGTAGGTTGCCACCCATCTCAGCCTGGCATATGCTCCCATCATCCCCAGGAGGCAAGTAAAATGTATAGAAACCAGACAGCAGGTTCCAGCATCTAGACACCTGAGAACCATAAAAACGAGTCCCTGCTGGCTGTGCCGGCAGCCTCGTCTTCCTGGAGAAGATAAGAAGAGATTAAGATTGCTTTTGGAAGCACTCTAAATGCTAGGTTTATGATAAAGCTCATCTGCCACTTGCAATCAGAAAGTGCTAGTCCTGATAACAAGAGTATTAAACCTCTCCTGGCAGATTTCTGTGTCTTTTTTGAAAAACAACAAGATGGAGGTTTCTTTAATGCCTGTTCTTACCTTTCCTGTTTGTCTGGGACATGTGGATATCTTCAAAAAGCCCATACATTATCACTTGGGTATATGGGCAGCTTAAAACTATGTTTTGCAATATTTTACAGTTGTCCAATTGTCCCCAACCCCTTGTAGTTATGTCATTCTGCAGGTCTGAATGACATAACTAGAACTGATTTGAAGAAGAGTCCCAGTCATTACTGATACTGTGTTTCTTCCAACTCTTACACTCTGGGATCCCATATCCAGGGAAGAAGGCACTGTGGGGGTGAGTGCCCCAGCACGCTAGGCCTAACTGTGTTTTCCCACAGCGTGCTGGTCAGCAGACACAGAGTGTGGTGTGGCAATGACTGTATACAAAGCCTCTTGGTTTAAATAACTTCAGGCCAAAGTGTTGGCCAGGGTGAACCTGTTGACCAGGGGACACAAAGGAGGTAAACACTAAAACCTTTGGGACCCTCGTGCACTGTTGGTGGGAATGTAAAATGGTGTAGCCACTGTGGAACACAGTATGGCAGACCCACAAAAAATTAAACAAAAAATTATCCTATGACCCAGCATTTCCACTTCTGGGTGTGTACCCATAAGAATTGAAAGCAGCGTCTCAAACAGATTCCTGTAGAACCACATTCATAGCAGCATCATTCACAGAAGCCAAAAGATGGAAGCAAACCCAAGCATCCATCCTTAGATGAAGGAATCCATCAGGAAACACGGTCTATGCATACAGCATGGAATTCAGTGTCAAAAGGGAAGGAGGCCGGGCGCGGTGGCTCACGCCTGTAATCCCAGCACTTTGGGAGGCCGAGGTGGGCGGATCACGAGGTCAGGAGATCGAGACCATCCTGGCTAACACGGTGAAACCCTGTCTCCACTAAAAATACAAAAAAATTAGCTGGGCGCGGTGGCGGGCGCCTATAGTCCCACCTACTCAGGAGGCTGAGGCAGGAGAATCGCTTGAACCCGGGAGGCAGAGTTTGCAGTGAGCCGAGATCGCGCCACTGCACTCCAGCCTGGGCAACAGAGCGAGACTCTGTCTCAATAAAAAAAAAAGGGAAGGAAACCCTGACCCATGCTGCAACATAGATGAACCCTGAGGACCCCAGGCTCAGCGAGATAAGCCACTCATAAAAGGACAGATACTGCATGATTCCACTTACTTGAGGTTCCTAGACAGTCAAAAATCACAGAGACTGAAAGTTGAATGGGGGTTGCTGGGGCTTGGGGGAGGGGAGCGGGGAGCTACTGGTGAAAGGGGACAGAGTTTCAACTTGGGAAGGTAAAAAAATTCTGGAGATGGATGGTGCTGATGATTACACAACAATGTCAATCAACGATGCCACTGAACAGCACATTTAAAAATGGTTAAGGTGGTAAATGTATGTTACGTGTATTGTTCCACAATTTAAAAAAACTAAAAACTCAAAACCTTGCTTTTATGAACTTATACAGAAAACAACACAAATCTCCTCAATGTGATGGAGAATCACCTTTGTGTAAAGTGGCTTAGTTGCTGTAAGAGCTCAGAGAGGGGAATGTCAGGCTCGGGTGGAGGTGGGGATCTGAGAGGGACTGGGGCAGAGAGTCACGGGGTTGAGCCCTGCCGGTGAGGCAGGTTTCAGAGGCCGGAGGAGCCTGGGACTCAGGACAGAAAGAATTTTATTTTCCTCATGATGCCTTGGGGGAATGAGGATTAGACACACTAGTTTCTCTTCTTTTTCCATTTTGCTACCCATTGGAGACGCTTTCTCTTTCTATTTTCCCCCAGAGAACGCAGACTCACAAAAAGTGAATGACAAAGAGGATCTCTGTGGTTCCAGAAGGCGGTGAGTCCGGGGAAGGATAGCAGAGAATCGAAGGCACCACAGCGGTTTCAATAGTTGTCTTTTGATTTTGAAATAATTTCAAACTTACTGAAAAATTGCAAGCATAGTACAAAGAATTCCATATACCATTTTTCTGCCTTCTCCAATTGTTATTTAGCATACCTACTTGATGATTTTCCCTTTTTTACATCTATATATCATACACACACACACACACATATAAATGCACACGCACACACTTTTTACTCTAAACACATATTTTCTAAAGGCAAAGAAGCCTTCCTATAAGCACAGTACAACCATCCAAATCAAGAAATTAGCATTAACAACAATGTGAACATAGCAACCACCACCAAACTGTACACTTAGAAATAATTAAGATGGTAATTTTTATGTTATGCATTTTAACTACAATAAAAAATAAGTTAAAAAGAAATTAACATTAATACATCATTATCCTCTAATCCACTGACCCCATTTAAATTTCACTATTTATCCCAATGTTTTTACTGCAAAATATATACACTCAAAATATATATAAAATATATACTATTACTATCTATCCATCTACATATGTATCTATCTGTCTCTCTGTATGTCTATCATCTACCTATCTATAATCTATATATCTATATAAATAGATATATCTTCCTACCTATGTATCTATCATCTATCTATCTATGCATGTTTGTCTGTTTATCTATCTATGTAACTATCTATCTATGTATCCATCAATTTATGTATCTGTCTGTCTGTCCATCTATACACACAGTGGTCCAGGATGGGATGAAGACTGCACGTCGCACTTGGCTGCCATGTCTCTCCTCCCCTCCTCTGAGGAAGAGCTGCTCAGTCCTTCCATATCTTTCATGGCCTCAACATTTTTGAGAACAACAGCCACTAAAGTGTCCCACAATTTGGGTTTATCTGGACCTGTCCTGTGATTACGTTGAGGGTGTGCATTCTGGACAGGAATCCCGCAGAAATGGTGTCTTCTCAGTGGCTCACCCGGCAAGATGGGTGATGTTGCAGTGTCTTACGGCTGCCCAGGCTGAATCAGCTCCCCTGGCGGGACGGTCTTCCTGGCTTCTCCACTGGAAAGTTCTTGTTTGTGCTTATAGTTTCTGACTATTCTGTAGTGAAAAACTCTGAGATAGGCAAATACCTCCTTCCTTATCAAACTTTCCTCCACTGGTTTTAGCACCCATTGGTGATTCCTGCCAGAATCAATTATTACTATTTTGTTTCCAAATGGGAAATGTTTAATTTCACATCTCCTTCTACACTTAATTGTTGGCATCCTACTATCAGGATAACTTTTACTTTTTCTCCCATGTATTTTTTTTTTTTTTTGCATCACAGTAAACTCATGAATTCTTATTTTATTCAGTGGGTTATAATCTGTTATTATCACTTATTTTGATGCTCAGCTTATCCAAGATCTGGCCAGTGGTTTCACCTCTGCGTGGCTCCTGCATCCTTTCTACGCCCCCATCATTCTTGGACATGTCCTTACTTTCTGGTAAAAGATTTTCCAAGCTAATCTTGGAATTACCCTGCCTCAGCCTGGAATCAGCCATTTTTCCAAGAAATTCTGCATTCTTTTAGTGGAGAATGTTATTTAGAAACCAGTATGTGGATGCTGGATAAGCTCATTGCTATTGCTGTACGTTCATTGAGCTCTTCAGCAGAGGGAGCTAGGAGGTATACGCTTATATGCATATCCCCCCAACACACACACAGGCAAGTATGTCTATATCCATCTCTAACTGTGTATACTAAAAACCTTGAGTTCACCCAGATACCACCGATTCCAACCCAACACCACAGGGTTTGTTCTAGCCTCCCCACTTTCTGCACTTACAACTCTCTTCTTCAATGGTGAGGAACCTGACTCCCTCTGTCCTCAGCACAGTCACTCACCTTCTCAATCCCATGCATGCACAGTCTCCAGGTTGGTCACCTCCTCTGTCGTCCCTATGCTGGCCTCTCCTCATCCCCTCCTCAGCCTCAACCCACCAGGCCTTCTCTGAGCTTCTCTCCTGGGCCCCAACCACTCCCACTGCCTCTGGCTGCCTCTGGAATCTCACCTCGTTGGCCTCCTCCAATAGATATTATTTAAACAAAATAAAGAAAAAAATGGAAGCAATGGGAAGGATAACATCTTTATGTGAACTCTCTTACAGCTGACCCTTGAACAACACAACAACACAGGTTTAAACTGTGCAGGTCCACTTATATGCGCATTCTCTTCCATATCTGGTACCCCTGAGACAGCAAGGCCAACTCCTTCTTTTCCTCCTCCTCCACACAATTTTCTTAATAACATTTTCTTTTCTCTAGCTTATTTTATTGTAAGAATACAGTATGTAATACATACAGCATACATAACGTGTTAGTCGATGGTTTACGCTCTCAGTAAGGCTTCTGGTCAACAGTAGCTGTTAGAGTCAAGTTTTTGGGGAGTCAAAAATTGTATGTGGGGTTTTGACTTGCAGGGGTCACCACCCCTAAACCCTGCATTGTTCACGGCTCAACTGGTGGATGCTCCTGGAATCTTGCTCTCTCTCTCTCTAATTTGTGGTTATCAAAAGTATGTAGAAGAAAAAGTTGTCTCCAAATCTGGAGGGTAAGAGGATTAGGGTGGGGAAGGTATAGGGGTTTGGGAGTGCTCTCTAGGGATTGTCTGGAAGCTGCCCCTACCTTCAACTGAGAATAGCTTCTCTAGATACAATTACTGCTTCTCGAAAGTTTCTCATTTACCACTGAAGTTAAATAAATAGAATTTGTATTTTTTGGATTCTATGACAATAATGATAACATTTGTCATAGATGTAATATTAGCTTTGCAGGGGAAAATCCTCTTTACCTTAAATGTGTGTATTAGACAGGATAGGACAAGCTATGCTGTGGTAACACACAAAGGCCACAGCATTCTTTCACATCATCACGGTTCATTCCTTTCTCAGGTCACAGTTGAATGTGGGCCGGGCCGCCACTCTCCTTATGCGGGGATGCCCTCTAGAGCACAGGTCCCCCACTGTCAGGGGAAGAGGGAAATGAAGGAGGCTTACTAGCTTTTAGCTGCCTCAACCTGAAGGCGATGCACAATGCCTTTGTTCTTATTTCATGAGTCCAGGAAAACTGCAAAGAAGGCTGGGAAATGGAAGAAAGAGCATGGATATTTAGTGAGCACGAAGGATCTCTCCAGACTGTGTAATTGCCTAGTTACAAATACATTAAAATGAAGAGGCTTGGAATTGAGGAAGCATGTTTTAGTAATAACTAAAACCTTCTGACTCAAAGAGAAGTTGTAAACATTAGCGTCCGTTAGAAATTTAGCAGAATTTTGTTGTACTTTTAAACTTAGAAACTTTTAATGTTGGACACATGCATTGTTTTATTTTCCTTCACCAACATTTGCTGCTAAGCTGGTAGCATCATGCTCAGCATGCATACATACATACTGCTGGACTTTTGCTCAAGGATCTATGCCTCATGGTGAGTTATGCCTAGTGAAATCCTTGCCTTTACCCAAGCACGATTTTCTTCTGTGCATTCAGAGCTATGCAAAGATTGCTTCTAAGACCAGGTGTATTTTTTGTCAAGCTTGCTGTGTCATAACAATCCCCCACTAAACAGCTTGGCTTTTAAAGTGGACACAGAATGGATCTAACTCGAATGGAATTTCAGTTGACTTAAGAAGCAAATGTAGGATTCAGCTTGAAACTGTCACGAAGTCACTCCCACAGAAATCAAGGAGCAGATCAAGCCCAAATGTGCTTTCTGCTAAGAAGTATTCTGAGTTGCAAATCGCTCCCTCCCTGGTGTGTGACCGCTCTGTGCACCTCTCTCTGGAGTCCTGAGTCACTGCCTGGGCAACTCTCAGAGAACTCTACGTAGACACAGAGAACAGATAATACACTTTTATAAGTCAGTGAATCAATGTCGATTGTTGCTCAGGGCATGTCAGGGCTGTAGGAACCATATAAAATTATACAGGGCGTGAACCAGGCACAGAACAATAGAAAGAGAGGTCATGTGTTTTCATATTGATGATTAATAAGAAAAATGCAGGTTTTATTTATCCTGGGGACACGCCAGCCCACGGGCACTATGGGGGTGTGTGAGGTCCTTTGTAGTGAAAACCAACAAGGAACGAAAATGTGTAGGAACGACCTTCCTCCTTTTCCAAGTCAGGCAGCCTGCCGATAACACTGTTGGTGCGCTGTGCACCTCTGCTTTACTGCCTCCTTTCAGGCAGGTAACAAGCTTGGAAAAAGAATGACTTGCTGGACTGATACTGACTGTCATGGCCTCCAACACTCATGAGCAAAAATTCTCACATTCAGAGAGTCAAAGGCAGAGGGAAGATTTGGCACAAACTCTTGTGTTGGCAACATCAATGATCCTGGGATAGCCCTCTGAGATACACACAGGAGGCCCGTCCTCAGAGCTAACGTCTGCACTGCCCTTTACAAAGTACTTTCATGCCCCTTCTCTCTAAAATTCCTCCCCGTGGTCCTGTAAGGACAGAGGTCAAGTGTCCTCACCCTCTACCAGATAAAGAAGCACACAAAAAATTATAAGATTTGGGACTGGTGCACGATCAGGCAGCTAGTGAAGGCCAGGACTTGTAGCCAGGTCTTCACACTCCAAAGGCATTGTCGTCATATCATTCTGGGTCTCTGTGCTCAAGTGTTCTTGCTCTAAAGCAGGTATCACAAAATCATACACCTCCAAGATCCAGGTAGGGAGGGCAGGTGAGGGAGGTTGGCTGGAGGCTGGCTGGGAGGGCCCAGGGCAGCAGGACAGAGCCTGTAACACTCTGAGGTGCCTATGCACTCAGCTCCTGCAGGTCTATGCCCTGTGCAATGCAGGCCCACTGTTGCCAGGTCCTCTAGACTTCAGGAGAAAAACCAAAAACCCAACATTTTGACAGCTTTCTATTTGCAAGTGTTTGTGTTGGAAACTAATTTGATTTGTTCTTTAAATCACACACCGTTGAACTGAATTTGGTTTATAGGTTGCAACCCCTGCCTTGCAGTATCTTTGGAATTTCTGTGGGCAAAGAGTTAGATGAAGGATAAAAGGAAGACAAAAACAGGGACAGGGAACCCCAGAGGAAATGTAAAAACATGAGCACCTCCTTTGGAAAGGTAAGATCTGAAATAAAGTTGAAACAAAAGAAAGGATCAAGATGGGAGTAATTCTCCCTTGTCTGAAGGAGGAACCTAAGGGAAGTCTTGTACTGCATGGTCTTGGAAGAGAGCCTGCCCCTCAGCTCAGCTCATGGAAAGAAGATGCTAAAGATGAAGGAAGATAAATTGAGAAGAGATTTTTTGGTATGACTGTGTCAATAGCCTTAAGAGTTTTGTACATTCAACATACCTGGCTGGGCGCAGTGGCTCACACCTGTAATACCAGCACTTTGGGAGGCTGAGATGGGTGAATCACTTGAGGTCAGGAGTTCGAGAACAGCCTGGCCAACATGGCAAAACCCCGTCTCTACTAAAAATACAAAAACTAGTCGGGTGTGGTGGAGGCTGCCTGTAATTCCAGCTACTCAGACGGCTGAGGCAGGAGAATCCTTGAACCAGGGAAGTGGAAATTGCAGTGAGCCGAGATCATGCCACTGCACTCTAGCCTGGGTGGCAGAGCAAGACTCCGTAAAAAAAAAAAAAAAAAAAAAAGAAAAGCCAATAAAAACAAAACAAAAGAAAGAGAAGATGGAGAGGCAGTATGATAACCACGAAAATATGAAAATATCAAGCATCCATTAAACACTTGCTTCACACTGAACACGGTTCTAAACCCTAGATATGGATCCAACCATATAGCCCTCACAAGCCTATGAAGTACTTACCAGGATTATGCCCATATTAAAGAGGAGAAAACAGAATTGTCTTTAGGCCATGGAATTTGCCCAAGGTCAGCCACCTTGGTTGGGGCACCCATGAAAGTCTGACTCTAAACATGTGCTTTTACCTGCTTTACTATTCTACATTCTGAGGGAATAGAAGGTTCCCAAGAATGAAGAGATCAGACGGACTCACACTGATTCACGCATGACCCCCTCCTCCAGGAATGTCGGAATTCCTACAGAAACTCTTGCCAAGGTAGGATCCCGTAATCTCATCTGAGTAGACAAAGTCTTGACCAGATGAGCCAGATCCACAATGTTAAGGATTACGTCCGCGTCTATTACCCATCAATTCCACAGTGAGTGTTTGCAGAGGACTTGCTAAATCATCAAGCATAAATCGTGGCTCTTATCCTCAAGGAAATTGGGGAGATAAGATTTACACTAAAGAGAAAAGAGCAAATAATAGAATCACCACTCCAAGGCCCATCAGGATAGAGGAGGAAGTGGTACATTGGCCAGGGGAAACTAGCCCTGATTTATACAAGAGTTTGGGGAGCAACTAACCTTTTAGGCTTCTCAAAGAAATAGCAAAATCTTGAAAATAAAACTCAAATGCGTACCTTTCTACTGGCCTCATTAGCTAGGTGAGCAGAGGTGTGCTGGGGAGTGGAGGGACGCAGGGGTATGGATCCCCCTCTCCTCTCTTCACTTCTTTCTTGATCTGTAGATGAGGCCTTTGGCTCTGGCCTCTGCCAGCTTTGGGACCTGCCAGTGCAGCTGATAATGCAACAGGTTTCAGAGGACGTGAAGCCACCATACTCTGCCCCCGTCCCCAATACTGTGGGACTCCTTTCAGATGGACTAGATTAAACTAGAGGGCAAGAGGAAATTGAAGAAAATACTCGATTCCAAGAGAGCCGTTCTTCAAATTTCATAGTCATAAACCAGGAGGAGCACGTGCATAAATCTGGTCTGATGTTCCACAGCCAGGCAGTGAGCTTGAAAAGAAACAGCCCTGAGCATGCCGTCAGCAACAGATGTTCTACAGCAATTCTGTGGTTGTTAAATAACAATTTACAATGACTTATCTAGTTTCATTGACATGACTGCCCTCCGAAATCCAATTGCACGCTAGCCCTGTTGTCTTAAAATGCATTGGTCAGGAGTGCGTTGAAAGTACAATGAAAGATCTTAAAGGAATAAGTTTAAAAAAATTCTACAAGTAAAGAAGAAAGCATGGAAGCTCCTGAGCCTTGGCCTGGTGAATTCTGAAGACTGTGTGACCGTGGATGTGTCGGCCCATCTCTCAGAGCTTCTGATTCCTCAATGCAAACTCAGTAAGAATGATACACACTTTGCTCTATGGCTGGAATGGCTGGTTATGAGGCAGGTTTGTGAGAGTCCTTTGACGTTTTGTAGTACCATTAAAAGATGGAGATATTAGAAAGGCATCAGCTTGAACTAAGAGATTGCCCCTCACAGTCAAAATTTACAGGAGCAATTTTCCCTATTGGTGACTGGAATATTCTAAGATGCTGGTTTTTATTGACTAGAGGCCTGGAATAGGAGCCACAGATTCCACAGTTCCTGCCCAGCAAATACCACTCTGCCTGCACGTGAGGAAACACACACACATCCCAGACACACCCACAGCCATGACCAGCATGAAGGAGCTGACCTTGGAGCATGTCATCCCCAGGAGATTCAAAGCTGGTTCGAGGTTGGAGCAATGTTGGGCACACAGAACCCTCTTCATCAATGCAAGAATGCCTAAAAGTACATGGTGATCGCTGTTTACTCATAACAGTAAGAAGAGACAGATGTTACCCTGAGACCTTTCTAGCTTCTTGATGAAGGCATTTCTAGGGCTGTAAACTGCTTTGGATGCATCCCAAAGATTTTGGAAAGTTGTGTCCCTATATTTATTAATTTCAATTAAAAAAATTTCTGCCATGATTTTGATGCTCACCCAAGAGATATTCAAAAGTAAGTTATCTAATTTCCATATATTTGTGTAATTTTCAGAGATCTTCTTGGTATTTAATGAGATCTGAACCCCAAACCTCATCTTCACACAATATCCCCATGTAATAAATCTGCTCATGTGTCCTCTGTATCTAAAATAAAAGTTGAATTTTTTTAATTTAAAAAAAGAATAGACACATGAGTTTCTGGGAAATGAAGTGATTATTATATAGTCAACTTTAGAGAAAAATCGACACTAGCCACTGGGTCTGAGCGAGTCGAATGAGTGGATGTGCACGTGTGTGTGTGGTATGTGTGTGGGGTGACTTATCAGGTTGTCAGCATGTCAATGAGCAGACGTCCTTCTTCCGTCAGGGTTCAGTAAGTGGTAAAAGCTGACAGTCATGGGTAAAAAATAATAGAAGGTGAAACCAATGCAAGCAAACAAAGGTTGACTCACTGATGAAAATTATCTCCAAAGATAACATTCTTAGAAAAATAAATAACTCCAGTTGATAATGAAGTCATCAGGAACATTAGAGTAGCCTTTTTTTCGGATAGGATATAATTTTCTGAATTCTTGTTCTTTTTTCTTAAATTACAGTGACCACTGATACACACACAATTCTGAAATGTGCTCTACCATGCACAGAAGAGGCCCAGCTGATCACCCCACCCACCCGCTCTTTCTAAATTCAAGGTTATCCTTATGGGTGATTCTTTTCCTTTTCCATTAAAAAAGGCAACTCAATTTCCCAGCCGAGTCTTAAGCGGAGGTTTTTGGTGTTCTGTGTTACCGCATCCATCTGTTTTGTAGCTATGATGGCTGTCCTAGATGTAAGAAATAGAAACACACTCAGTTACCATGATGAAAGGGGGATATATTTTGAGGTCACACATACCCTGGGACTGGGGTTAGAACAGACATCAGGCGCGGAGGTAGGCGGAGGTGCCCCCGTCTGTCTGTCTGTGTCTCTCTGCATGTGTATATGTCTCTGTGTGTGTGTCTGTCTCTCTCTCTCTCTCTGTGTATATGTGAGTCTCTCTCTCTCTGTCTCTCTCTGCATGCGTATGTCTGTGTGTGTGTCTCTATCTCTGTCTTTCTGTGTGTCTCTCTCTCTGTATCTCTCTCTGAGTGTGTATATGTATCTGTCTCTATCTGTATGTCTCTCTCTCTGTGCGTGTGTATCTTTGTGTGGTGTATTTGTGTCTGCGTCTGTGTGTGTGCCTGTGTTTCTGTATGTGTGTCTGTGTGTATGTGTCTGTGTGTCTCTGTGTGTCTATGTGTGTGCATGTATGTATGTGTGGTGTAGGTGTGTGTGTCTGTGTGTGTGTTGTATGTGTGTCTCTGTGTGTCTCCGTGTGTGTGTGCATGTGTATGTGTCTGTATGTGTGTGGTGTATGTGTGTCTCCGTGTGTGCATGTGTGTGTGTCTCTGTGTGCGTGTCTGTGCGTGTCTGTGTGTGTCTCCCCACTCTCATTATGTGCTCAGCAAATGCCTCCCTGTCAAACAAGACTCTATCTTCTGCCTGCCTGACCTGGACACAGCATCTCTCCAAAAATAAATGAAGGTGGTTTCACTGAATTTCCCAACATCCAGTGGATTAACTAAAGTTAATTTATAAAGATTTGTTTATTATTCTGCAGGGGATTCTTGAAATGCTTTATCCTGCTAGGGTTGTGAAGATGAAACATTTTTCTTTTTATTTGGCTGATGTTCTAAAACAGTAATAGTGACCCACGCAAAAAGGATCAAACCCTCTGAAAGATCAAAATAATCTGATGCTGCCCAGATAATTGACCAACTGTCTGTCACTGGAGTAAGCTTCACACTGACTTTGGTGTACTATCAGTGGCCCCATCTCTAATAATTAAGCTAGAGATAAATGTTACAAGTTACATCATCCCTGTGCTGAGAGGGCAGTGGTTTGCCTGCATTTCCCATTTCTCAAAGGGAAGGCCCCACGGCCGCCATTGCTCAGCCCTGGACTGGAGCCCCTCAATTGTCTGGAGTGGCAGTGGCGGCCAGTGAGTGGAGGCCTCAGCCACTTCTATCCGTCCTGTGACCACTCCATAGAACAGAGCTGAGCTTCTAAACATCCACTTCAATGTGGATGGGCTTTAAAATCTCCCCAAATTTTAAATGAACTCATCTTAGACCTCTCTAAGTGAGGCTTCCCATTCTCGAGCTTTCTACAGGGGAAAGCCCGAGGCAGGCTCGTTATTTATTCTCTGTTTACGTTTCCCCGAAGCGAGGTAGCCGTGCCTTCCAGGGCTCTGCTTATACATCTCGTGTGTGATAAGCTGGGCGCTGGCAAGTGTTTGCAGGACTTGTCTTCCCGGTGTTTTACGGCTGTCTGCTGTGGTTTCCAGAGAGCACAGCTTATCTGTGAACTACTTTGGCTCAGGCCCTTTTGGTTCCAGTCTGTCCTCACCAGCATGCAGCCACATCTCCCTGCGCAGCTGACACAATCAGATAAAACTAATCATGAGACCCTCTCCACCCCGGCGGTGTTTGGCCCTTGGATGCTTGAAGCCGCATGGCTGTGGTTAGGGTGACCAGCCAGGACTGTGCTGGCACAACACTGGGAGTCTCGCATCCTGGGAACACCTGCAGTGCTGGGCAAACTGGGATGCTTGGCCTCCCTGTTGCTGCTTCCCTGGGCAGCTGGTGAGTGTCCCATAAAGCAAAGCACCCTAAACAGCACTGTATCCAGGAGGGTGGTCGGCAGCGGTCCCTGACCCTAGGCTCCAGAAAGCACCAAGCTAGGGAGCAGTGAACTGGGACTGGAGCCGGAAAAAATACCAGGAACCAAAGAAAGTTGCTGCTGTTCCTGTCTCTCTCCCATGGATCAAGTCATCTCCAACTACTGAATCAGAGACTACTTCACGGACACTTCCCAGACATGAACTCAGTGCCTTCTGAGCACTTAGAAGGCCATCTTCCTGCAACATTTCCACTTCCTCCCCTCCAGTAAAGGCAAAGGGATCCCAAACCAAACAAGATTTGCTTAAGGTTTAATGTGCACGCTCAGAGCTACTGATGGCAACCCTGCCCATTGCACCACAGTGTCCCCAAAGGAAAGGGTTAAGGTCCCCACCTGTCTTCAAGGAAGCTGCAACCCAGGAACCCACTAAGACATAGGTGGGCAAACAAGCAGCACACAGGGCTGGTCGGGAGTGAGAATTCACATTCTTGCAGTAAACAGTGAGTATCACCGGAGTTCAGAAGAGGCCAAGCTTTCTTTCTCAAGCGTGAAAAGTGATTTTTTTTTTTTTTTTGAGACAGGGTCTTCTCTGTTGCCCAGGCTGGAGTGCAGTGGTGCCATCTTGGCACATTCAGCCTTGACCTCCTGGGCTCAAGCCATCCTCCCACCTCAATCTCTGCAGTAGCTGGGACCAGAGTTGTGCCCCACCATGCCTGGATAATTGTTTTTGTACAGAGAGGGTCTCACTACGTTGCCCAGGCTGATCTCGAATTCCTGAGCTCAAGCAATCTGTCCACCTTGGCCTCCCAAAGTGCTGGGATTACAGGCGTGAGCCACTGTGCCCAGCCAAAAAAAAAAAAAAAAAAAGTGATGTTTGAGCTGGGCATGGAGAGGGGAGGACTTTGATGAGCTCACACAAAGGGGCGACATTTCAAGGGAAAGAAAGAGCTTGCCTGAACAAGTGGAATGTGCATGCTCAAGCAGGGTTTAACTGGTATACAGTAGGCACTCAGTCACTGTTTTGTTGTTGGGTGGGGGACTAAGTATCTGCAGATTAGCAAATGCCATGTCATTCACCAGAGCTTTCAGTTTCAGCCACTCTAGCCAGGGGTAGGAGAAGGCATCACACTGTGAGATGGGGCACACCTTCCCCATCTGGGAGCAGACCCTCCACAGAAATGCAGCAGACGGGGGCTTCCAGGGCACCATTCCCCATGCGTTTCTGAGTGGGCCTTTCCATGTCTCTTGGCAGAAGAATGCTGGGGAGTCACCCTGGGCCATGTGGCAATAGGGGTTGCGACACAGCCATTTGTTCCACACACAGAACCCTGCAGATACAGCCTCACCGTCCAATTACCAGGATGACTGGGGAGGCAATTACCGTTGACTTGGCCCTCGTTTAATTAAATCCACACCTGCCACATGGCGCGGCATCACCCATGTATAACCAAAGCTCCTCAGCAGCCAAAGGAGTGTGGCCTGGAGGAGAGAGGGCTGGAGAGTGGCCACGAGATAGGCCACCAGGGTGATTTCCTCCCCACAACCCCCAGGATTCACTGCTTAAAACAGTCTTGAAACCAGCAGATACCTCCCAGCCACTATAAAGGCATTTGGCCACCACTGGGGCCTGGGAGTCCCACCCAGCAGCTCTCAGCCTCATCAGGCCAGAGAGCACAGGTGGGAACATTCAGAAAACATTAGAACTAGAAGGTATCGCCAAGGTCATGTGGGGTCAAGGCTTCCAAATGGTATGCTCCGGATCTTGGGGACATCTAAGCAAGTCTCTGAGTTACTAAAATAGACCTCCAGACCCCTGCATGTGTCAAGAAAGGGCCTCTATAGAGATCCACTCATGTGGCCTAATCTCACATTTTAAAAAGCTGAAGATACTGAGGTCAGAGGGCCCTCTGTGCGCATAAAGCTGATTTACCGGGAAATTTGGACTAAATCTACGCTTCCTGACTCCTACTCTTGTAGGAGCCCAGGCTGGTCTCGAACTCCTGGTCTCAAATGATCCTCCCACCTCAGCCTCTCAAAGTGTTGGGTTTACAGGTGTGAGCCACCCATCCTGGCCAACACCCATCAATTTTAACAGCAGTAGGAAGCTATTTAAAAAGCTAACATACCAATGAGATCACACGGTTTCTGATTTTTTTTTCTACTAATACAAGAAGGGGGAGAAGTAAGTGGGCTATGGATGAAAGAAGATGGATCATACATTGATCATTTTGTGGAAAATGGGTGAAGGGTACATGGAATTCATTGTGCTAGTCTTTCTGTTGCATTTCATGTTTGATATTTTCATTACAAAATGTTTTTAAACAATTATATACAAATATGTACATATGTATGTATGTGTGTCTATATATATACTTACACACATACTCATTATATATATGGATAGGAGTAAGAGAAACCAAGTTTGGGGGTGTAGTTGGGGAGGATTACCTAAAGGAGGAAGTGTTTGAAATACACAAGTAAAAGGAAATACAAAAATGTGGACTATCCGGGCAGAGAAAAGAGGATCTTTTTTTATTTTTTGTTTTTTAATTTATTCTTTTTTATTTTTTTGAGACGGAATTTCACTCGTGTTGCCCAGGCTAGAGTGCAATGGTGTGATCTCGGCTCACTGCAACCTCTGCCTCCAGGTTCAAGCGATTCTTCTGTCTCAGCCTCCCGAGTAACTGGGATTACAGGCTCCCGCCACCATACCCGGATAATTTTTGTATTTTTAGTAGAGACGGGGCTTCACCATGTTGGCAAGCTGGTCTTGAACCCCTGACCTTGGGTGATCCACCTTCCTTGGCCTCCCAAAGTGCTGAGATTACAGGCATGAGCCACCGCTCCCGGCCTAAAAGAGGATCTTTGTAATTCCTTCTCCTAAGAACCAAGCTAGTTGAGGCCTTAATTTATTATCTCTCTCCTGGAACGTTTCCTTTATCCACCTAACTGGCCTCTGTACTCCCAGCTTCTCCGTTCGTTTGTTCTCACTCAGTAAGGATTAATTAAGAGCCTACTAAGTGTACTATGTGCTGTTCGCTGTTCTTGGTGCTGGGAATACACCCATGAACCAAAAATAAATTTAAAAAGAGACAAAGTCTGTCCGCAGGAGACACATATTCCATAGCCTATAGGAGGGGCTAAATCAATAACCATTCCTGTGACATCAGGCTCCCAAGTGGTGCTGTGATAACCTGCTGTCTGGTGGAAGCTGCAGGTCAGTATGTGTCTCTTTAACCTCTAGGGCTGGAGGTGCCATTGCAGGTAGGCGAATCTTTCTCCCTGCAAACTGCTCAAGGGCAGTGCAATGGACTAAATGTGTCCCCACTAAATTTCGTATGTTGAAATCCTAACCCGCAATGCGATGGTATGAGGAGGAGTAGCCTTTGAGTATTAACAGGTCATGAGGCTGGAACCCTCATGAATGAGGCTAGTGCTTTCTAAAGGGACCCCAGAGAGGTTCCCCATGCTCTTTCTGTCATTCAAGGATACAACAAAAAAAGACGAAGCCACCTGAACCAACTCTGCTGGCACCCTGACTCCAGCCTTCAGAACTGTGAGAAATATGTTCTGTTGTTTATAAGCTGCCCAGACTATGGCAGCCCACATGGACTAAGGCAGCCCCCAGTGTTCTGAAACTGGGCAGGATACAGCCCGTGAGAGCCGGTTCCTGGTCAGTTGGCCAGGATGCCAAACCAGGCATCAAGTATGGTTCCTGGAATCGAAATCCTTGTGGGGTGCAGCCTCTGGGAAGTAAGGAAATTGCTAGTGTGAGCTGGAAAATAGGCAGTGAGGCAGCCATTGCCTCAACAGGGCATTCCTAGCTCTGAGGCTGCTTTCAGAATCATATTTGGAGATGGTCCTCTCTGTCTGGATGAGAACAGGGCCAGCTACCCACAGCCACACTTCTATGGCTCCGGCTGAGTGTAGGTGAGGGTGACCAACCATCCCAGCTTCCCTGAGACTGAGGGAATTCCGAGACCATGGGACTTTTAGTGCTAAAACTGAGATGGTCCAAGGCAAGGCAGGACAAATGGCCACCCTACTGTAGGGTAGTGCCCTTAGGGTCAACGCCTGTCTTTCTAGTGGAGCGTTCTAGTCCAGAACATGACATAGCACGATGTCTAAACTTACATGGTCCTAAAAGGCAAATTGTCTTAAGTCGATGAATGTCCCCCCCTCCCCAGCCCCAATGTAGCCTTGTAGTGAATCAGCGACAGAACAGTCCAGGCTGGACATGGGAATAGACTATTTCACTAGAGTCCACGCTTCCCCTTCTGCCAAGAGATCACCAACTGCACATACATCAGGGTCTAAGGAGCATCTAGCTTAGCAGCCCACCAAATTGTTTGGGCTGTGACATGACCTAAGTCACTTGTTAAATTGATAGCTCATTGATTTCGGTAACCTGGTGTTGAGAATAAGTGAAAGCACAAGAGTGGGTACCTTTTGGGATGCCCAGGCCTCTTCTGCAAACCCTCTTGATGATACAAGGTATGGCCCCCATGGTGCAGGGAGTCACAGCCTCACAGCTGGCTGGACAAATCTTGGACACTGGCTCAAGTCCAGCCAAGTAGCTTCTCCATCCCAGGAATATCAAGTTTGGCCAAGAAATTTCTGGTTATCTTTAGATACCAAACTTATTCAATCTGTCAAGCCATCAAATTAATAAATATTTATTAACCTGATATACAAATATGAAGGTCCTTCTAAGTTTTTGACCCTCTCTGAGGTGTGAGGATTCTAGAAATGAGATGATCTTCTGGGGATGCCCACTAGGAACTAAGCACACCAAGAAGCAAGCAGAGAAGGCTGGTTTGCAAAGAAATGCTGGAAAATGTACAATTCCCCATGTTAAGCCTGAGAGGAGAGACCTGGGGTAGGAGGCAGGGAGGACAGGAGAGAGCCCCGCTGCTTCCAGCCCCCTTCCAGCTCCTGCACCTGCCCCTGGTCCCAGAGGCTTCCTGTGTATTTCTGGTAAGGCTTCCTTTTACTACGCTGTGGTGGGGTTTGGCCCCTTAAAACCAAACAAACTCTGGCCAAGGCAAGCACTGAATTTATTCTGGCAATAACCCACAGATGAGGAATTTAAATGTTGGTTAATTTGTTTAAATCCACTCTTCTATTCACAAAGCATGCTCAGAATGTTTCTTCTTTCAATGGTTTTCCCAGGATTGCTATCTAATGGAACGTGGTTTCCTGTTGTACTCCTGTTAACACAAGCAAGGAAGAGCACTTTGCAGGAGGAAACACACGAAAGTCAGGATTTGTGTTTCCATAGCCTCCTAGTCTCCTAAACTCTTGAACATTTGCTATATTAAATAGCAAAGACAATAGGAATACAGGGCTAACTACCAAATATATTATCTACCAAAGCTAACAAAGTCTATTCAGGTAACTATTCAAAGTCGAACTTCAAAATCATTTAGTAACTATTTATCTGCCCCACCAGTCTCCTACTCAGGTTATTTCAGTCTGTTTGCAAATGTGTGTAAAGTTCAAAAACATTCCGGTGAGCTTGTTTGATTCTCCATGGACATAATGGTCCTAGATTTTCTACTTTTTTTTTTCTTTTTTTTTTTTGCAACGAAGTATCTCTGTTGGCCAGGCTGGAGTGCAATGGTGTGATCTGGGCTCACTGCAACCTCTGTCTCCTGGGTTCTAGCAATTCTCATGCCTCAGCCTCCTGAGTAGCTGGGATTACAGGCGCCCACCACCACCCCTGGCTAATTTTGTATTTTTAGTAGAGATGGGGTTTCGCCATGTTGGCCAGGCTGGTCTCGAACTCATGGGATCAAGTGATCTGCCCGCCTCGGCCTCCCAAAGTGCTGGGATTACAGGCATGAGCCAATACGCCCGGCCCTGCTGTTCTTTTATAATTGGGAGACTTCGAGGTTTGGTTGATAGAGCGCAAGCTTCATGTTCCAGAAGTTCAGGAAGTAAAATCTAGGTTTAGAGACAACGGGGAAGAGGCTCCAATGCCTAGTTCAGTCATGTAGGAACCAGAAAGACTCAGAGCTCCTGCTGCGCCCAGGAGCCCAGCCTCTTGCACTCTGAGAATTTCTGGGTAGAAAGCAGAAGAGGATTCCGGACAGAGGGCAGGGAGGTAGGGCAGAGACCTTGTTGGGCGGAGAGCAGCCCTCCCACAGCTCATGGGAGGGACACAGCCCTACTCCGCCCTGGCCTCTGGGAGCTTCTAGAAAGCAGAGACCCAGACCTGGCTACTGAGCAAAGCCCATGTCGAGGTGTTTAGAGAACATTATACACTTGTCTTCTTAGACCAGGTGTCAGCAAACTGCTGGCCACAGACCAAATCCAGCCCCAGGAGCCCAGTGTTTTTATAAATAAAGTTTTACTGGGAAACAGCCAAGCCCATTTGCTTGTGGATGGTCTGTGGCTGCACGGCAGAGCTGGGTATTCGTACAGCCCAGCCCACAAAGCCTAACATCTTTACTACCAGGTCCCTGACAGAATAAGTTTGCCAGCCTTTTTCTAGACCTATGCTGAGTAATAAGCATGAAAACAAACAAAATTATTGCAAGGGTTCTAGTACTTTCTTCTTTGTGACTAAACCTACTTCAGACGTTCACAGGAGTGGCAAGTTAGGTCATTCTGTTTGGAGTTGGAGTGAAAATGTTATCAGAAGCCATACCCTTGATCAACACTGACGGCTTTCTTAGATAAGCTACGAACTTGTTCTCAGGCTCCCCGCGGGATCTTGTGCTTCTCTGGGGTGCGTGCAGCCACTGCTGAGCTAGGCCAGGGTTGCTGGGCCAGGGGGCCCAGTGAGAGCTGCTAGCTGCGGGCTGCTAGGCTGCGTAGGCAAGCTCCTGCTCCCACCACGGGTCTTACTTCTTTGTGACATTAAGCTCACTTTCTCCGTTCTGCTTTGTGTTAAGACAAAAATATTCCAAAGGGCTGCTACCCTAATATTCCCAATAACTCTATAAGCAGAAAAGAGTTACAATTCTCCTTCAAAAGGGCAGAACCAAACCAAAAATTGTGTTAGGCGCTTATCTGAAACAGAGATGAATAATGCCACCATTAGGAAACAGTGAATAGAAAGCCTCCTTTCAACATACGTGGTGCGATTGGGAGGATATTCAAGTCATCAGGACATATATTGCCCAGCAACTGGAGAAAAAATGTTCCTCCCAGACAGTGCAATAGAGAGAAACACTTGATTAAACACACTCTGGGATGAAACGGGGAAATTGCTGGCAGCCGACATCACTGAGTGTTTGAAAGAGGGGCACAAGATTTATTTATTCTGTGTTCTCCAACTTTTCTGTCATCGAGGAGCCTTCTTCAGCGTGGACCAATCTGGAATTCACTGTGCCTACCCCGGCCATAACCACAGCCCCTACTGCAACGAAGCACCGATGGCCAGGCAACAAAGAAACCCACAGTTCCATGAAGATAGAAGCATGTTTCCGGGGCAGGCCAGGCAGCAGTCCTTGAACAATGTTTTGAAGGCAGAGAAATGGTTCTCTGGATCTGGGCAGCACACAGCTAACGCTGCTCTACATGTGTAGGTGAGAAAGACTCAGGCCTCGCAGCCTGAACCAGCAACTGGGGAAGAAAAACTCAGAAGGCGCAGCAGGAAGGACGGAGCGCCACGATGGGGGGAGCAGTCACGGGCGATGAGCAGAACAGAACGAAACACGAGCTCTGCACACAGCACAGAGCACAGGAGGACAGGCCTGGAAGCCTTGAGAAAGGGGCCTAGAAGGAAAGACAATGCCCCAACTGTGGGATTTATTTCCCACAATTGCCTCATTTAATTAATCGAGGTATGAAGGCATGGTGTTCTCTTTCAGACATAAGGATACAGTCATGTTGGTCTCTGTTAAATCCCAAGCAGTGGAATCCCTTTGTTGCTTGTGACAACTGTAGTCACATCCCAGGGGCTGACAGTGCTCGTGGGTAATACTGCAAAAAACTATCTCGGGCTCAGCCCATCTGGAGGTGCCGGCATCGTACAGTCACTGTGTACAAGACTCTGTCCCTGTCTTGCGGGGCTCACTTTTCCCTCTGACAATAATTAGTTCTTCATCCCGATGACCCAGGGTGTGGATTTTCTGCAGATCTTACCACTCCTGCTCCTTTGGTTACTCAAAAGTTTGAGACCAACTTTACCCTTCTGCCTAAGGGTAAAGCCAGGACAGCAGATAGAGGAGAGGACTCCAGCCAGAGTCCTGAAGGGCTTAGCAGCTCTTAGGAAGAGACTTGCTAAAGTTGGCTCTATTGCTTATTAATGAAAACAATTTAACTAGGTTCAATAATATTGAGTGTAGCAAGGCAGGAAAATATACGCTGATCACTTTAGAAAAAAGTGTGCAAAGACTTGAAACAAAAAATGGAGATTTTGTCCAAGCCCCAGGAAGACAGCAAGAAAAGTGAGACAGACTCACTAAACTCATTTCCCGTATCAATTATTGCATTCCAATTTTTCTGTCAAAGGTATTCATTACAATTTATGTTAACTTATGCGTCTGTGTAGGCTAATATCATTTTCAGGCCTATTTCTAACAGTTACAGACTTTTAAAAATAGATGCCATGGTAGTGAATTGTTCCTCTTAAAAATGTACTTAATAGGCTGGGCTCAGTGGCTCTTGCCTGTAATCCCAGCACTTTGGGAGGCCGAGGTGGGCAGATCACCTGAGGTCAGGAGTTCGAGACCAGCCTGGCCAACACAGTGAAACCCTGTCTCTACTAAAAATACAAAAATTAGCCGGCTGTTGTGGCACGCACCTGTAATCCCAGCTACTTGGGAGGCTGAGGCAGGAGAATCACTTGAACCATAGGCGGAGGTTGCAGTGAGCCGAGATCGCGCCACTGCACTCCAGCCTGGGCAACAAGAGCAAAACTCCGTCTTAAACAAAACGAAAAGTACTTAATAACGTGGTTTAGGGGAATCTTCATCCCCGAAGCCTCTGTCCTTCAGATGCTTTACGCTGGGCTGCTCTGTTCCAGATAGAATTGATCCCATCACTTTTGTGTAAACACATCAAGTGTCTAGGAGCAGAAAGGCTGGCTACTCTCAGAGAGTCAGGCCTGCCAATCAGACCATGGGAAACCCTCAGCTCATGCACCACTGGACAGGCCTGGAGTGAAATCACTCAACCCACTCGTTAGAAAGGCCCAGCAAGTTATCGCAGCTCGGCTCCCTGTGCTATCTCCGTGATACACACATTACATATGCCAGGAATGTTTATCCAGCAGAGAATGCAACACCAAGCCAGGGTGTCTTATCTACATCAAATTCACGCTAGCCTACTAAATTAAAAAACAGAACATATTTTCTCCTGTATCTTGATTTAGAAAGTACTGATTAAATACAATAAAAAAGGTAAGTAGTCCTTGTCACGCAATCCTCAAATAAGAGCCACAAACGTGGAAGATATATCCAAAGGAACCAAATTAAAGGACTGGAGAAAGGTAAGAAAGGGACTATGCTTCTTATGAGTTTTATTTTCCTCAGTTACATTGTTTTAACTTATTTTATGTTCGAGGGTACATGTGCAGGTTTGTTACATAGGTAAGCCCGTGTCACGAGGGTTTGTCGTACAGATTCTTTCATCCCCCAGGTACTAAACCCAGTACTCAACAGTTATCTTTTTTGCCCCTCTCCCTCCTCTCACCCTCCACCCTCAACAGTGTCTGTTGTTTTTTAAATAAAACTTGCACTTCTATCCCTAAGTATTTTCTGACGTTGCTGCCCAGGACCCCTGGGTAGCTTTTAGACTGGATGAGCAAAGACCAGACTGAATAACTAAGTTTCTCCTGCAAGCCAATGGGCCTGGCCCGGGACGTGGAATCCACTGACTTTCTCTTCCTATCAGCAACTTTCCCCACAACGCTGATGGATCTGGAACCACTTCTAAACCCGCTGCCTGTTTGCGAGGAGGGCAGACCACTGACGGTGGGAAGGATGCATTTCCCCAAGCCACGGACCACACTGCCGAGGCCCTGACTGTCCTTTCCCGGACCCCTGCCTGGCACGCCTGGGAAAGGTTTACCCTGGGGGCGGGGGCAGGTTGGCGCCAGGCAGCTTGCAGAATGTGTGCTCGGACCCCGGGCATCGCGAAGTGTGCGGGCCGTGGGCCCCGGCTGCACCGCCAGCCCCTGCCTGGCCACCCCACCGCTTACTTGACCTCCAGGAAGCGCCTGAAAGAAAGCGAGCTCTGATATGTGCAGCTCCAGTGTGTTTCAATAAGCTGTTTTCAAAGAGTTTGGGTGCCTCTTCAGACTAAGCCCGTTCGAAACCTCCATCTTCTTTCTAGGGTTTTCTTCAACGGGGGCTTAGATGATAAACGGAGACCCCTGTTCCCTACCGGTTGAAACTGTGTCTGCGGCAACAGTAAGCACCCGGCCGAGACACCCACACCCCCATGTCGTGCGCTCAGGACCAGGGAGCATGGCGCATCACGGCCAGCCTATTGCCAAGCAGGTTCCTGAGCTGTGTAAGGTCATGACTCTGAATTTCTGTTGCAAACATTTCAGACTGTGAAACTCTAAGAGATATAAAAGACTAGGGGAGAGGGAACCAAGCGAAAGGGGAAAAGGTGTTAATATTTACCTCCATTATCATGAAGAGATTATCCTGCCCTCTGGTACACTGGGACATGGTAATTGCTCAAGGGTTTAACTCTTTTTCTTAATGTGAAGTACCAGTACGAACCAGTTTTGAGGTGTTTGCATTAAAACTGCTCTGCCATTTGAAAAATCTGATCAAGAGATCCCAGCTGCTCAGCTGGTGGAAAGAACCCCGAGTTCATGAAATTATTAGGGTAATCTAAATGAAGCTTAATAGCACTTAGCACTTCAAAGCACACTGAGCACATTAACTAATTAATCGCAGCCTTACCCCTTCAAGGTACATAAATGGCTATTATCCTCACTTTACAGTTGGGATAAATGAGACCTAGGTAAGCAGGAGTAGTTGCCCTGGGTCCCGAATGAAGTCAATAGCTCCAGTAAAGGCAAAATCGGACATTTCGGAGTCGCCCGTCTTGGCTGCCTATCTGCTCTTCTTCCCACATTTTCTTTCCTTCTAGAGCTTGGCTGAAAAGCTTCACATTTGGATTTGGAGAGATTTCAAATCTTTTTCCTACATATGACTGTTTATGACATAGATACTTTAAAACCAAGGGAGTCCAAACTGATTAAAGTTATAACAAATTGGAATGCTGGAAAGTGCATGTCATCAGCCAAGGAAAGAGGTTAGTCTGATTAAATAATCAGTTTCATCTGGGTCTGTTTATGCCATCTGTTGCAAAATGTTTTCCAAATTGTGTAGTGTGCATGCAGGATCTCACAGAATAGGAATATCAAGTGTTATAACAAAAGTAATATGTTCTTACTTTTCCTAAAAAAAAAAAATGTAAATCTTTCCCAATGTCCCTATGATATAAAACACGCATGGCAACGACATCATAACACAATACTCAGAAAATTGTAGCCGCCTTTAACCATGACATTTCCCCAAATTAATAACTGCACACTAACGACTGTGTAATAAATCTGTAAACTTTTTCAGCATTGCTACTTCTTCAGCACTAGACCTGATTGTTTCTAAAACCTCTGAGACATATAACTTCTGATAAAGGGAATAATTTTTCTGGCAAAGGAAATATTAGAACAGGAAGTGAGTCTTGAAGTTCCTGGCTTCAATCCATTAAGGTGACAGGCAAGAAATCTGAAGGCAGAGAAATGAAGCAACAAGAACAAGGATTCTGGTCCCCTCGTTCTCAAGCCACTGCTTACACAGATAGAAGGGAAGCTGATTACCATGTGCACGAGGCCTGTCATTTCACAGACGGTAATCTGAGGCAGAACCAGGAGCAGGACCCAGGCGTCCTGGTTCTCAGGTTGATGCTGTTTCCATTCCACTCTGCCCTGCTGGCTTTGTAATTCCTTTTCCTTTATTTGATTTAGTGAATTGTTCATTTCATTTCATGGTTTGCTTGAGTGCCTTCCCCAAAACACCACCGTAAGTAAATCATTGCAAAGTGGATAATATTTTCTCATGGGAACAATGATAAAAATCAGGGATTTATTTCTAATCAAGGAGGCAGCATCAAACAGATCCTATACATGAGCAACACCAGTCATAAGGCAGGGATTAAGCAACCACAAACCTCAATGACCTCATGTGTAAAGTAGGCATAATAGAGGGATATCTCTCAAGACACTGAAGGATTAATGCAGACAACGTGGGCAAAGCACTGGGCGCAGATCCTGGCAGTTAGCAAGGGCTTGGGAAGCACCGGACTCTCTCACTCGCTGTGAGTTATGCATTGGCACTCACATGTTTTGTTGGCTTATAATCCTCGCACGGTGTTAAAACCTAGGTGCTGTCATTATGCCCACTTTACAAATGAGGAAACAGAGGCCCGGGGATGCAAAGTACCTTGTTAGAGGCTACATAACCAGGAAGCAACCAACCAAGATGGCATTTCACCCCAGATGATTTGACTTCAGGGTCTGTGCTTTGAACTCTTATTTCACACATATAGTTGACATATAATAAATACTGTTAATATTATCACTTCACTTAAATAGATGAGTTATTATCTGTATCACATAGAGTAGATGTACTATGACCATTATTTCCCAAAGGCCTCATTTTACTATAAAGTAAGCAAAACACATGAAAATAGATGCCAATTGAGCATCAAGGTGGCCCCAAACTAATTTTCAGGAGTTTTCTGTCCAATAACTGAGAGGCGCTTTATACAATGTATGACCCATAGTATCATAACATACTACTGTACAAGAAAATTGGAGCTCATTTCCTTTTTTTTTTTCTGAATAAATTTCTTACTCAACAGGCATCATCTAAAAATACTGTGTGTGGCTGGTGCTCCATACTGGCTGCTATTGTTAAGAAGGACATTTGAGCGGGCGTTTTGCTGGTGAAAAGCATGTGTGTGTGTTTGTTTGTTAGTTAATTGTGAAATATTGAAAGTGTATAGAAAAAGTTAGAAAATACAGTAATGCACTCACATATACTTCCCACTCAGCATTGTCAAACCGTAACATTTGATACATTTCAATGTTGTTTCACTGAAACACAGGGAAAAAGAATAGAGGGGAAATTCCTTAACCTGGAAAACACAGCTACAAAAATTCCACAATTGGGCCCAGCGTGGTGGCTCACGCCTGTAATCCCAGCACTTTGGGAGGCTGAGGCGGGCGGATCACCTGAGGTCAGGAGCTCAAGACCAGCTTGGCCAACATGGTGAAACCCCATTTCTACTAAAAATACAAAAAAATTAGCCAGGCATGGTGGCACATGCCTGTAATCCCAGCTATTTGGGAGGCTGAGGCAGGAGAACCAGTTGAACCCGGGAGGCAGAGGTTGCAGTGAGCCGAGATCGTGCCATTGCACTCCAGCCTGGGCAACAAAAGTGAAACTCCGTCTCAGAAAAAAAAAAGGAAAAGAAAATTCCACAATTAACCACACCCTTCGTGTGTCATATTCTTTAAAGCTGAAAACAAGACAGACATGCCCACCTTGCCTCCTGTGTGCAGGGACTGGACTTGGGGGACCTGACAAAGATGAGAAAACGAATAGGGCAAGGATCCCAAAGGAAACTATGGAACTGTCATCATTCCATCCGGGGTGGTGGTGGGTTTCGTTGTTAACTTCTGATTTAACTGGATATTAGCTGGAGAATCTAGTGCGTACTAATTCTTGTATTTTGTCTTGTTTTGTTTTTCTGGGGATGGAATCTCACTCTGTTGCCCAGGCTGGAGTGCAGTGGTGCAATCTCGGCTCACCGCAATCTCTGCCTCCCAGGTTCAAGCAATTCTCCTGCCTCAGTCTCCTGAGTAGCTGGAACTACAGGCGCCCACCACCACGCCCGGCTAATTTTTTGTGTTTTTAGTAGAGGTGGGGTTTCACCGTGTTAGCCAGGATGGTCTCGATCTCCTGACCTCGTGATCTACCCGCCTCAGCCTCCCAAAGTGCTGGGATTACGGGTGTGAGCCACCACACTTGGCCCTAATTCTTGTTTGTTATTGAGATTTACATTCAGGCTAGTTCTTGGTCAATTTTAGGCAACGTCCCGTGGGGGCTTGACTAGAATGTGTGTATTCTACTAGGGGAATGCAGAATTGCCTATATACAGTTAATAGCGTCAACTTTGTTAGTTGCATAGCTAGAAACAGCATAGAAATGCGCTTGCTGTGCTCTAAAACCTTTCATTGCTAATGAATGAAGGGGATAGATTGTATAACATCACACTTAGGAGTGTGCTGTGTGCCAGATCATACACACCCCAGAAGGCCCAAATTGTCACTGACTGTCCCTCTCTTGAGCATGGGACATCGCCAAGAAGGAATTACTCCATATCCAAATAAGCCACATGATCATAGAACTAATTTGTTCCTTTGGGTGGTTGAATTTCCTCTATAGAGATCCCAGGAGGCAACATGAATCCCTCCAGGGCTGGACTGCACAGCCTCCATTGATACCCTCCAGTGACGGGGCACTTGGCCTCTGGTGACACGTCCCCTGGGAATGGGAACTTACTCTGTCATCTTTCAAACCACCTTAAGTGGCTCCAGAAGGGCCAGGACAAAATCCTTGACTTTTTTTTTTTTCTGGCATTATTTGCCAATTCCTTTAACAAATATTAATCAAGCACCTGCTGTTCTAGCCCCTTGGAGTAAACAGTGAGCAAAGCTTTGAGGTGCCTTCCCTCACAGAGTTTATTATAATTTAGGGATAACTAAGTTAGTAGTTTTTCCATTTTCTCCTTGTAAGCCTGTCAAGTTTTGCTTTAAATACATTGAGATGATGTTACTAGGGTTGAAAGAAAATAGAATTGCCTATTTTCTTATTGTTTAGTGCCTTAAAAATTCTTAATAATGATGTTTTACCATAATGTTAAGCTTGTTATGAATATAGCTTCCCAGCTCTTCTGAATCTGCATAGTTCACCTCCACGTGCTGCAGGGCCATTGACGAGAATTCCCGGGGGAGACTTTTGTCCACTCCCAGTCCAGAAAAGGCAGAAAGGCCCAGTGTTACCATAGCTGTTTGATGGGA
This sequence comes from Homo sapiens, assembly GCF_000001405.40. Taxonomy (NCBI): domain Eukaryota; kingdom Metazoa; phylum Chordata; class Mammalia; order Primates; family Hominidae; genus Homo; species Homo sapiens. Next base: position 1,085,614 of record NC_000006.12, read on the forward strand.
GGCGTTTCCTTTATGCTGCTCGCTCACTGAGACAGCAATCCCTAATGGCCCTGGTGAGAGGCAGGATTCAAGCACGGTTCTCAGCGCCCACCTCGCTTACGCTGAGCGGCTGCAAGCCCAAGCTCTACGTCCCTGGGATGCCACCCACCCACCCCCAGCCTGCCTCAGCCTATGGGCTCCTTTTTCTATTCTGATCCCGGAAGCAGCCCATACTTTTTTGCAAGCTCAGCTCCACATTTAAAAAGATGTTTGCTTCCGTCTCCCATGCTTTGTCCTGGACATGCAGTGAGTGAGAGTGAAGCTTGCGTCTTCTCTGTAGACCCAGCCATGTTGCTTCCTTCCTTTTCTCAGCTTATTTTCTCCATGGAGCTGGCCCCAAGGTGCCATGAGCCTGAGACTTAGGAGAAAGTAAAAGGCACCACTGAAGACTAAATCTAGGCTACGTGCTGCAGCTGAGATTGGAACCTGTGCTTAGATGTGAACTTCCACATGGGTGCTTCCTTGAAGAGTTGAGCACTCATTCAGACCTTTATAAATTGCCAGATCCATTGAGTTTACCAGCCTCTCTGAGATCACAGGCTCAGGAATCAGATGACTGGGTTTCAAATCCTACCACTTACTAGCTAACTTGTCTGTGTCTTCAACTTCCTCATCTCTAACTAAACATAGTAATTCCTAACTTATACATTTGCTGCAAGGATGGGGCTCAATGGGCACTGGGATAGATTCTACAACACCACATAGTGCAAACTAAGGAATGGCATTTACTGGGGAAATTTAGAAACTAGGAGTCAGGCCCCAAAGGCATAGGGGTCTCCATCTTCTCATAATCCTATGGAAAACTGAACCAATGCAAAGACAAAGCTCTTTGCCATGCAGTGGGCTGCAGTCCTGACCTGAGTGTCCTATCTCCTCGAAGGATGAACACGAACACCACTTTCCAGTAAGGAGACAGGGGGACCACTCGATTGCCAGGCCGTCGGGGTCTAGATGCCAGCAGAGCTGAGAAGGCATCTGAGGAAGGCCAGCTGCCTGGCACCCAGGGAACATGGGTCCTGGGGAGAGGGGCAGCTCTCCTCTTGGGGAATGTTTGCGGCTGGTCCTGTGGGAAACTGAGTTTAGGTGCACATCCTCCTTCGAGGAGGCGGGGAAACTCCAGTTCCAGCCAGCTCATTTCCTAGATCATGTAGACTGAGATCTCAGGATCATTTTTTGAATAGTTCTGCTTGTTGGCCCATGGAGAATTAAGCAAAATAAAGCACATAAAGTAGTTAGTATAGTATCTAACAAGTGCTCACTATATATTAACTGTTATTGTTTTAAAAGGATGTTTGCTAACATTTTCCTAGCGCTTAGAGATATCTGGATTTGGAGAGGTTTCAGATTACTTATCCACAGCATTTCTGGAACCAGAGGGCTTTCCTGAGAAGCGTTTGTAAAAGCAGGAACAACTTAACTTTTCTTACCTTCAGTCTCTCTCTTCTAAGTTTAGTCAAAGCTAGACTCAGGATCAACCCTCCACATCCAAATGTCCTAGGTCATTTGGGACCTGGTTAAAGGGGGCTTCAAATCACCTTGTCCACACTTGCTGTGGCAGGCAGAGTTTAGCAGCTTGAGGAAGCTGAGGCCTGAAGTATTTTGGTTTATCAGGTAACTCTGAACCTTGAAAACGCCAAACATGCAGATTGCCTGTGTGCATTTCATACTCCCCTGCAAAGCAGCTCCTCGCTTCACAGGAAGAGGCGGAACTTAAATCCAAATACAGTTACAGTGTTTATATCCTGGGCTGCACTAGTTAAAAAGAACCTAAGATTTATGGCTCTTTTAGATCACAGAACCAAATCCCAATACCTCCTGTCAGATCTTCTCTCCTTCCAGAAGCAAGTATTTGGGGATTATAAAAAGTGATGTTATGGATGATGTCTCTTAAAATATCAGATCGACTTGATGGCAGGACCTGCTGTTCAAATTTCTTTAGAGACACCTCCTCGCTGCCCCGCCCTTGCCTCTCTCCCGACGAGTGCCAGCCCATGCGCACACACGCACAGGTGTGTGCCCAACCATGTGACTTCCCTGCTACCTCCAGACTAAGCGGGCATTTCCTTTACATGTGCTGTTTTCTCTGCTATTGTCTCCTTCCATCATCCTTTTATTTTAACATATGTTTACTAAATGCCATTGTTCTAGAAACATTGAGGCATATAAAAGTGAATAAAACCAGCAAATAAATTCCCATCCTCGGCCAAGCGCGGTGGCTCATGCCTGTAATCCCAGCACTTTGGGAAGCCGAGGCAGGCGGACCACCTGAGATAGGGAGCTCACGACCAACCTGGCTAACATGGCAAAACCCCGTTTCTACTAAAAATACCAAAAATTAGCCGTGTGTGGTGGTGGGCACCTGTAATCCCAGTTACTCAGGAGGCTGAGACAGGAGAATCTCTTGAACCCAGGAGGCGGAGGTTGCCGTGAGCTGAGATTGTGCCACTGCACTCCAGCCTGGGAGACAGAGGGAGACTCCGTCTCAAAAAAAAAAAAAAAAATCCCCATCCCTAAGGACCCTATATTCCAGTGGCTAGTCATCATTACTGCTACCGTCCATTGAGTATCTGCTGTATACCAGGCTCGGTTCTAGCTGCTTTACCTATACATTATTTCTAATTTGCATAACTTCTCTGAAAGTTGAATTATCAGCCCATCTAACAGATGAAGAAGTTGAGTCTCACAAAAATTAATAAAGCCCCAAAAGTGATTCAAAGCTACATTCCAAAGTCTTTGCTCCTTTCCTGCCAAGGTGGAAATCTTTCACCTGAACCAAACAAGTGTCTTGCTGACCTGTGAAACCCTTACCCTCCCTCCTCCACCCCTGTACCTCCCACATATCTGCACTGCAGTTCTGAGCTTCTCACCATGGTAACCTGTGGACACACCAGTCCCTCTCTGAGCTACTGAAGGTACAGACCATATTCTACTCATCGTGGTTTCATCAGTGTTTGGCACAGTACAAGATCAAATTAAAATAAGCAGATCCTGAATTGCTAAATGAATGTTCCTTATATAGTGCTTACTCAGCTTTTAGATTTATTGCCATCTCTACTTCTGTACCATCTGCAGGGACGCCGCCCGTTGAGGTGGTAGAGATTGGCTTAAGGTTGTACAAACAGAGATTGGAAACTTCTTTCCCTGACTTGTTCTCATTTTACTGTCATATTTGCCAATAAGCACTTAAAATGCCAACTCACACAGCTGGGTGGAATATCTTAAGGAAAGTAAATGAGACAGTGTATACATGTAAGATGATATACAATAAAAGATGATACGGAGTAATGTGAAAACAAAAGATAGTATTATTACTGTTGTTTAAGCAAGCCTCAGGCCTTTTAGCTAGCAAAGCTTCATCCAGTAACTGCTCACTTTGTCTTAAGCACTGTAGTTTTATTCTGAATGAAAAATATATTTACATACCTCCTCTTAAAATCATAGTTCAAGTTTAATTCTCAAGATCAAGATTTATTCTGCTTAATAAAACTCATTTCTAATTTTTTTCTAACCTAATAACTGGTGTTCTAAATGCTAATCTTCTTAGAATGCACTTCTCCTCAAATCCAATGTGTCGCCTCTCCCAGTGAATCACTGGCTTAGAAATAATGATGGCAAACCTATATTACATGCTTAATAGGTGCCAGGCACCCTTGTAAATACTTTTCAAGTGCTATCCTCTTTGAATTCCAAATTCGTAATTTAGGCACTATTATTATTCCCATTTCAAAGATTAGGAAATAAATGACAAGAGGCATAAGATGCCTAAGAGGCCACACATCCGCTAAGTGACAGGGACTCGATCTGAACCCAGGAAAGCTCATTCTGGAGCCCACATTTTTATTTTTGAATGACTTTAGTTTCTTTTCAACATAGGTAACACATCACCTGGTTTAAAAAAAAATTCTAGAAGGCATGCTGTAAGGAGTCTTGCTTCTACTCTGGTCCTGCCTGTTTTCTCTTTGCCCACTCCTGACCCCAACTCTAATACGCAGTTGACAACTTTTAGTAGTTTCTGGAATATACCTTTGGAGATTTTAATGAAAATGCAAGCACATGCAAATATATGCTTTTTGTTTCTTCTACCTTCCTTCCACAAAATGTAGTATGCTCTACACACCTTTTTTTCTCTGTTATTTATATATCTCATAGCTCTTTCCATAGCAGGATACAAATCCTTCTCATTCTTTTATGCTGCATATTCTGTCACATGACTGTGTCATGATTTAACCAGTTCAGGATTGATGGACACTTTCAGTTCTTGTCTATTCACACAGTACAGTCATGAATGATCTTGATGTTCATCTTTTCCTATGTGTAAGTGTATCTGTTGGGTAAATTTCCAGAGGTGGTACTTCCAGGTTGAAAGATTCTTGATTTTTCAGCTTTTATGATTTCGTAACATTCCTGGATTTCCCTTCAATTAGCACATTTTCCTGCAGATTGTGTAAACATCTATTTATTCTTATGGCCTCATCTGCAGAATGTGCTGTCACACTTTGAATTTTTGCCCATTTTATAGGTGATAAAAGATATTCTCATTGAATTCACATTTATCTTATTATGGATGAGGTTGAACACCTTCTCATACATTTAGGGCTTGTTTATTATATTTTATAAATAAGCTATTCTACCCTTTGACAATTTTTCAATTGGTTTGTTGGTTTTTTACTTAGTGAAACTAGAGATATTCTTTTAACTATTTTGCAGTAGTGATTCCCAAGAAAGAGTGAAGACATTAATAAAGGAAATTGCCATAAACACAATAGGTTATCAAAATTGTTTTAGGTACAAGTTAAAAGACTTCTCTGGTTACTTTTGACTTTAAACTCTATCATATGAAATAATGTATATCAAAAGTTCTACAAACTCTAGTCTGTTAGTTATTCATTATTATTATTTTTTTTATTTTTATTTTTTTGAGATGGAGTCTCCCTCTGTCACCCAGGCTGGAGTCCAGTGGCTCGATCTCAGCTCACTGCAAGCACTGCCTCCCAGGTTCACGCCGTTCTCCTGCCTCAGACTCCCGAGTAGCTGGGACTACAGGCGCCCGCCACCACGCCCGGCTAATTTTTTGTATTTTTAGTAGAGACGGGGTTTCACCGTTTTAGCCAGGATGGTCTCGATCTCCTGACCTCGTGATCCGCCCACCTCGGCCTCCCAAAGTGCTGGGATTACAGGCGTGAGCCACCGCGCCCAGCTGGTTATTCATTATTATAATAGACAAAACATTTAGAGATGATAATGTAAAACTCTAAATAGCTAAGATTCAGACCCCAAGAATTTCACTAACAACAGGTCATTGATCTACTCTAAGAACCTTTCATCTGTACTCAACTGATCAGTGACCTTTTCAATAATGAGAAAATAAAAAAAATTAAAAGCCTTTTCTTCTGTCATATTTCCTGAAGTGTGTGACAATTAGTTTTAGTCTAGATCTCTCAAATACGATGCCATTTTTCTTTTTTAAAGCACTCACAGGACTCATTAACAATCAACAGATCATCTCCTTAGAAACATAGGCTCAGGAGTTACCCATAGAAACCATCCTAACCCTTTAGAGTATTTCTATCTGCAACACCCAGATTTTAGGCAACTGGTTGTCTTGGACTGTAAGTGCTCAAATCTGTACAAAACATTTTTAATTTCCACTCCTTAGTGTATCTTTTTTTTTTGAGATGGAGTCTCGCTCTGTTGCCCAGGTTGGAGTGCAGTGGCATGGTTGTGGCTCACCTCAACCTCCGCCTCCCGGGTTCAACCAATTCTCCTGCCACAACCTCCAGAGTAGCTGGGATTACAGGAACCTGCCATCACGCCCGGCTAATTTTTCGTATTTTTAGTAGAGATGGTGTTTCACCATGTTGGCCAGACTGGTCTCAAACTCCTGACCTTGTGATCCGCCCGCCTCGGCCTCCCAAAGTGCTGGGATTACAGGTATGAGCCACTGTGCCCGGCCAGGTATATCTTTACAATGTGTAAGTTTCTAACCTTTCCCCTTTTCCCTGGTCTGGGGAAAGGTAGAGGCTGGTTCCAGAGCTGATCCCAGGGCCTTTGTGAGCTCAGATATGCAGTAATGGCATAGGACCATCTGCCAGGTCAAGGTGTTTGCTGCCTCTGTGGTTATTTGGTTATAAAGAGCCAGCAAAGCCAGGAGACCTCTCTGAAAAAGATACACATAGAGCCTAATATGTGAAGTCGTTTATATTTTGTATGAATAAACATACTTAATACACATTTACACATACATACTAAACGCAGTATGAACCAAATGCTTACAGGAGACAGGGCATGTGTATGGGCATAAGACTTTGGAGAGAAACTCTGAAGTCCACAGAACCCTCCCATGGGTCAAGATCAAATGCCTACCAGATGCTCAGAGCCTCCAGTAAATCCAGTCAGAGCTGGATTTGAGTAGAAGATTCCCTTTTATGCACAACTGCTGACATAAGTGGCGTGACACTTCCTTATTTATGTCTGGAGTTTACTGCCCTTTGAGTTTATTGCCTAATACAGCATGGCCACAGAATGTCTTTTTCAACGCAAAGGCCTATAATTCTATTACAAGAACACCTTGGGGATATTGTGGGTTCAGTTCTAGACCATCACAATAAAGCAAATATTGCAATAAAGCAAGTCACACAAATTTTGGTGTTTCCCAGTGCATATAAGAGTTATGTTTATGCTATACTGTAGTCCTTTAAGTGTGTAATAGCATTATGTTTAAAAACACAATAGTGTGAAAAAACCCGCAATATCTGCAAAGCACAATAAAGCGAACTGCAGTAAAATAAGGTATGCCTGTATATTTTTTAAATGCACTTGAGCCTTTCTAACCCCTTTGAGAATTAAGAAGCAGTTTGCACACCCTCTGCAATCTAAAATGGATCCCACATCTATGCACACACATGCAGGACTAGGTTCATGTATTGTATAACCCACACAGTCAAGTCCTGCAAGATTCAATAAAAACCTGTAGTCAGGTTCATTCTATTTCAGATGCAGAAATTGTTTGTAATGAATGAAAAATGAACACTATTAGCCACGTGCTTTTATAATTCACTAGATAACATATGAAACCACTAATGTTGTCCACTAACGATGACTACCATCATGACCAACACAACAAAACCAGAAACAGTATTTCCTCCTTTTTTTTTTTTTTTTTTTGAGACAGTCTTGCCACCAGGCTGGAGTGCAGTAGCACTATTTCGGCTCACTGCAACCTCCGCCTCCTGAGTTCAAGTGATTCTCCTGCCTCAGCCTCTGGAGTAGCTGGGATTACAGGCACCCGCCACTATACCCAGTTAATTTTTTTGTACTTTTAGTAGAGATGGGATTTCATCATGTTGGCCAGGCTGGTCTCGAACTCCTGATCTCGTGATACACCTGCCTTGGCCTCCCAAAGTGCTGGGATTACAGGCATGAGCCACCGCGCCCGGCATATTTCCTCCTTTTTACATTGTACTTTCATAGCTGATTCTCCCCTTTCAACCCAAAATGCAAACACAGGCTTTAAGAGATTTCATTTCATTTCAGAATGAGCTGTGACCTGGAGGCCCAACCAAAGGCAGGCTTGTTGCCCAGTGCTATGGAGACAGTAGACTTGGGGATGTCCTTCCATACCATTTATCCTGATGGCCTGAAACAAAAGCACATCACCATATCCTTTTGATCACAGCATAGATGGAATACAAAAGATGACCTCCAAGACTCCGCCTGACCTTGCTCCACCTACCTCCCCAGCCTCTCCCACCCAACTCTCCCCAACACCTCTGGGGTCCAGACACAAGAGCCTTCCTTCAGTTCTGCAAACACACCCCACTTCTCCCACTCACAGCCACCTCAGCATCACCGCAGGATGTTGCTGAATTTACAATCGCCTCCTCCCTCTCTCTCCCCTCCCAGGAGCCTTTGCTTTGCCTAGCTAACATCCACAGGATTGCAGATGGCTTGTCACTTTCTCCAAGAATCCTTCCTTGACCCCCCGATTTCTCCTCATGGGACTTAATAACTTGGTGTCTGAATTCCCTGCTAGAATGCCAGCTCTATGAGGGCAGAGACAGACTTTGTCTTATCCCTGCCACATCCCCGGCAGCTAGCACAGAGAAGGGAGCAAATGTCCGGTGAGAGAATTATGAGTGTGACCCTGACATGGGCTGTGTCTTACTGTCTGTGCCACGCCGTCTGCCCAGTGTAAATGCTAAAGAAATGTTTGCCGAGTGAATGAATGGATGAATCAATGAGTTGTTAAAAAAAAAAACTGTTCACATCAACACAATTTAGCATTAAAATACTCACTATAAATCATAAATATTATTATTTTTATCATTTAAGTTCTATTCAAGTGTTTTTCCCCCACATAGTTTCTTAGAAATTTTATGGCCAAAAAAACAATTCTCAGGCTAGGCGTGGTGGCTCATGGCTGTAATCCCAGCCCTTTGGGAGGCCAAGGCGGGAGGATCACCTGAGGTCAGGAGTTCGAGACCAGCCTGGCCAACATGGTGAAACCCCGTCTCTACTAAAAATACAAAAATTAGCCAGGTGTGATGGCAGCCGCCTGTAATCCCAGCTATTCAGGAGGCAGGAGAATCTCTTGAACCTGGGAGGCAGAGGTTGCAATGAGCTGAGATTGCACCACTGCACTACAGCCTGGGTGAGAGAGCGAGATTCTGTCCCCCAAAAAACAAAAAACAAAGAACAACAATTCTGGGATGCCTGAAAAATGCTCCAGCCCACAGAAAGTGAACTGGGAATCTTTTTAAGGGTAGGTATCATTTCTCCCAGGACTAGAGTCCTTTTAAGTGACTCATAGTTCCCAAGATCTGAGAGGCTTCTCTTTTGGCCCTGTCTCATGACCCATTTCTGAACATCTGTGTTGATTTTTTCTTTCTTTTTTTAAAATCTATTTGGCTCAGTGCTTAAGATAAATGAGAAGTTTCACATTCTACCCTAAAGGCTAATAGAATCTGGCTGTACTGGATTGCAATTCAAGAGTCCAGTGATGTGGCTTCTCCTAAGAAAATACCCTTTCTCCTAGAATCCCAGGGACCTATGAGCAAAACCTCCAGGATTCAAAGTCTGAGTTTAAAGAGAGAAATTTTTCACACACACACCATCCAAAACAATCCTACACACACCCAACAAGCACACAGCACCCAAAAGTAAACCCTCCACACACCCAACATGCACCCACACCCAATTCTCACAAACAACCCAACACACACATGCAACACCTGCATATGCGACACACATAGAACACACACTGTACCTGCAATCCCCACCCTCACATACGCAACCCTCCACACCCCCGGCACACACACCACACACACACCGGGGCCTGACACTCCTCAGTCCTGAGCCGAGGGTCTCCTGGAGGCCCAGCTTCTCTCTTCTTTCCCTACCCCATTCCATCATCTCATCCAGGCCCTATTGGAGGCAATTTGCCCTTATTCTAAAAGTTATTTTAGTTTTGATTACGGAAGACTTGAAAGTAATGTCAGTTCTTAGAAAAATTCTAATGAAAGGCTGGGCAAGGTGGCTCATGCCTGTAATCCCAGCACTTTGGGAGGCCGAGGCAGACAGATCACCTGGGGTCAGGAGTTTGAGACCAGCCTGGCCAACCAACATGGTGAAACCCTGTTTCTACTACAAATACAAAAAATTAGCCAGGCGTTGTGGCACACACCTGTAATCCCAGCTACTTGGGAGGCTGAGGCAGGAGAATCACTTGAACTCGGGAGGCAGAGGTTGCAGTGAGCCAAGATCATACCACTGCACTCCAGCCTGGGCGACAGAGGGAGACTCTGTCTCAAAAAAAAAAAAAAAAAAATTTCCAATGAAAGCAAATCAGGGGTTTGGCCTCCTGGTGGCTTTTGGGTGCTTGTCTTGGAGATAGCAGTTGGATACCACAGCAAATTGGCTGTGGATTATTTAGTAGTTCTTATTTTTCATACAACTGCCTCTGTTGCCCACTTTCTTCATTTTTTCTTACCAAATGGTAGAATTGCCCTTCTCACCTTCTACCGTTATGTCCTCCTATCAGGAAAGCAAACTAGTGCATTAAACCACCGTGATCACCACCACAAACCTGTGAATGGGGGAAGGAACCCTTTTCTCCATGAGGACATGAAAGTGGAGGGAGGTTAGGCGGTGCACATTGCCCCAAATCTTCCAGTGAAGAAGGATCCCAAGAGAATGGAAAGGTGGTCTCCTTTTTTGACACCCACACTCCTCTGTCCCCACACGGCCCACTGGGCTCTGCACGACTGCTGTGTCCAAAGCATTGTCCCCTGCAGAAGTTGCGCCAGTCCTCCCTCCACCTCTTGCTGCACTCAGACAGGAAGGCAGTGAAGCCAGACAGGAAGGCAGTGAAGCCAGACAGGAAGGCAGTGAAGCCAGACAGGAAGGCAGTGAAGCCAGCCACGCCAGCCTCAGAGCAGGCACTGAGGGCACTGACGCTCACCCTGGCCCTGCAGAATCTGTGGAGGAGAGGCTGTGGGTCCACCCTTGTCTTCTGCTTATCCCAGTTGTCCTACCTCATCTCTTCTTTTAATTTCTATTATGGAAAGTTCCTAACAGGAACAAAAGTGCAGAGAATTATATTAAAAATTCCCACGTGCCCATTGCCTGCCTTCAACAATAAACGCCTTGTAGCTAAATTTATTATTTTGCATTCCTGAGCTCACTTACTCCCGTGAATTATTTTGAAGCACATTTGGAAAATCATGTTAATCTGTAATTAAAAAAATATATAACATCAAAAGGCATGGACGACTCCCTTTTAAAAATAACCGCAATACCGTCACCACACACAGAAAATTAAGATTTCTTTAATGTCAACACCTATGCTATCTGTGTTTGCCTTCCTCCAACAGTCTCATGAACATTTTAAGATTTGCTTGCCTGAACTGGGATCCCAACGAGGTCTACACTTTGTTCTGAACTCATGCATCCCTTAAGTGTCTCACTCTACCAGTTTACTCTACATCTCTTCCAGACTCCCTCAATTTTCTTCTTCTTCTTGAAAAAAATATTGCTTGTCCTGTCTGAATTTTGCTGATTGCATCTTTGTGTTCTTCTATCCCTTTTATTTTCTGCAAATTGGTAGTTATATCTGGAGGGTTGCCTGAGTTCAGTTTTGGTGTCTTTGGTAAGAATCCTTCGTAGGTGGTGTTGAATGTGGACTTTCATTGGGAGGCACAGAAGGTCTGGTTGTCTCCCTTTTGGGGTGATGGTTGCCCGGAGTATGGTTTACTCTTAACTCCTGTAATGTAAAGGGAGGGAGGAAGGAAGAAAGGAGGAAGGAAGGAAGGAAGGAGGGAAAAAAGGAAGGAAGGAAAAAAGGAAGGAAGGAAAAAAGGAAGGAAGGAAGGCAGGCAGGAAGGAAGGACCTGTCAGCCTGCTGCTTGCCTGAATGTGACTGACCACGGCCCCAGGTGGTGGAGCTGCCACCTTCCCTGTCTGCTTGCCCCCAGGACCACCACTTTCACCGACCACACTCAGAATCAGTGAGCCCCTCTGCAGTGCCTGCCTTGTCTGGGCTGACCACCTTCAGTGCCAGAGCTGAGCCAGAGACTTGGCCATTTTCGGGAGTGCCATAAGGATTATTTTGACACTTTTGTCCGGCATAATAGTTGCTTTTAGGTAAGATGATTTGTCAGCCTCCTCCTTCTGTCGTGCTGGAAGTGACTCTTCTCAAGTATTTTTGTCAGCCTCTGAGTAACAGTAAAGCCCACTCTAGCGTAGCAAGGATGAGCAGAGCCAGATTCTGGGTTGGCATGAAGGGTTTAAAGAGAGTGAGGTTGAGTGAGCTCCCCTGGCCCACAGAGCAAGGTTGACAAAGGAAGGAAAGGCCCTGTGGTGTGGCCCCAGTGAAGGGCACCAGCGCCGCCTCTGGATCTCTGTGTCCTCACCTCTGGGGTAAGGGCATGCTTCCCTCTGGGGTGGATGTGGCTGACAGCAGATGCCCTGTCATGGCTCTTGCCTCAGCTGTGCGTGTCCCCATCTTTCCTGTCCTGAGGCCAGACTCATAGGTAAAACCGGGTCTCAGGCATCTCTCCAGGAGGGTTGATGGGACACTGCAAGCTCCTTGGCCCCGCCAGGGCTGTCTTCCCCCAGCTTTCAGTGGGTAGTGACGGCCCCGTGACCATCACTGCATCGGGGGGGAGTTGACCCCGCCAGGGCTGTCCTCTCCCAGCTTTCAGTGGGTAGTGACGGCCCTGTGACCATCACTGCAGACCCCGCCAGGGCTGTCCTCTCCCAGCTTTCAGTGGGTAGTGACGGCCCCATGACCATCACTGCACTGGGGACGCTTGACCCTGCAGTGGCTTTAGGGCTTCCAGCTTAAACACAGTCAAAAAGCGAAAGGTCTAGTCACCAGAAGACAACATTTGACAGTAGTAGAAATCACAACCAAACATTGTGCTGTTGTACAATTGTTATTTGTCAATTACAAAATAATATTAAAAAATAAAAAACCCCAAAACATTGTACTAGCCATTAGAAAATCATTCCTGACATCCATTACCTGCCAAAACAGAGTCATATCTGTCCTAAACATAGCATAACTTAGCTTCTAATTTTTTCTAAGGGAGAAAATAATAATGGGATTCTGTACAAAAAAAAATGTTAAATATGGACTGGGAACTAACTCACCTTTTTAATCTCAATCTCCAAGGTCATCTAATTGTAAATAGAATTTTCTAAACTTTGGTAGAACACAGGACACATTGGTAATTTTCAATGTAATTAAAGTTTTCCTGATTTTTTTAAACTTAGAACTGTTTATTAATTTAAATGATCACTAATATTTTATTTAAAATATCTTTAAAATGAGTCAAGGGTTTTGCACTTTTCTCCAGCACAACTCTAGTTTATTTATTTGCCAATCCTTTTCTGTTTAAACCATTTGTAATTCTTTTTTGCTTAACTCATTCAACAGGCAGCATGAAGGATCACAAAACAAAAATTGTTCTAAATACTTATTTAAAATATCTTTTTCACTTACAAACAATGTCTGTGAAATTCTTAATTAATACAAACAAGAATCTAACTAATAATGATTCAAACTCTCACTATTACGCTAGGTGATTTTTTTTTTACTGTGTTGAAATTGCATTATATAATTTAAGTTGGACAACCAAGACATTTCATTTTTGATGTTGATTACAACTTTCAAAATTCGCAATCTACTAACATAATTTATTTATATTGACTTAATGTAAGTAAATCAGTTGTGCCTTTGAAAATGCTACATTGTTCATAAATGAATACCAAGCTTATGCATAGCTATGTACAGGGAGGTGAAAAATATTCATCTTCTCTGATATTAACAGACAGTTAAATACAGTACTATCCTTCTCCTATATATCATCACTCAAATAGCTGTTTCCTATGGAGTCCTAGCCAAGCTAAGGGAAAAAGAAAATATATTGACCTCTAAGATACACGTCAGTTGAATCAGAACTGTGTAGTAGTAGAATGCTTGGCAAATACAATGATTTGTAGAATACATTGATACATATTGTGAAGTGGTTGAGAGACAGCCAGCAGTTGCCACAGCTGCCAAACTCCAGAAGAAGGCTGGTGTTGGTGCAGGGCAGAGCTTAGGGCGAAATGTGGTGGGCTGGGGACAACACGGAGGAGGGAGATTTTTCTATTCAGTGCCCAGTTGACTCCACCGCTGAGGGCCAGTATAGTGAAGTTAAAAACCAGTTTCACACACTGTGATGAAATTCTATAAACTCAGGATTATCCTGTCAAATCAAGATGACATGCGTCCCATTGTTTAAAAACATTCTAATGGATGGAACTTAGCAAATACTGCTAAGAACAGAACCAGCCGGGCTATGCTGCAGCGTCTCAGACATGTTTCCACTCGCTGCTGCGATGTGTTTGTCAAAGAGTTTACTTAGAGAGCTGCAGAGCTATCAGAGAGGAGAAGAGAAGCGCTTCGCCCTCACTTGAAGAACAGTAACTGCAGTCAAGCAGAAGACACTTCAAACAAACAAACAGACAGACAGACAGACAGATCTCCCCACTCATTCTACTGGTCTTGTGCTTACCTTTCATTTTTCTTGGCCTCTTGCTTCCCCTCTCTCTGATGGCATCTTAAAGGACTCAATGTTGAAATGGTAGCAGGCAGCAGCCCATCTGAAGGTAGCATTAGCATTTGAGAGGAAAGATCTTGAGGACTGAGTGTGCTTAGCCACTGTGCACCTCGAACCTGCATTGTTCCTCGGTTTTCCTATGGAGAAGGATCCCCCTGTGTGGGACTGGCATCCTCTGAGGACTGCAGGACTGTACCTGGGTGATGAGAAAGGAAGCCAAGGCCATAGCACTATAATTGCAGTGCTCTGCCTTAAAGTCCAGCCTCGAGCCTGCGGCTCGATTTTCCAGTAAGCTGAGAGCATGGAGAACACCAGAAAGCCATTTCGGTTTCTGCTTATTTCTTCTCTACAGATTTTGAGGGTTGAAAAAGCACATTCCAGAAAAGGCAGTGGAAAATTCTAAAATAAAAGTGAGGCAGAATCAGAGTGAGGGGCATGTTGAGAATGCCCCTACCATCTTGAACGGAGCAAAAGATGGCTCATATGTTGACAGCTCCCAATCCCCCACTTCTGGAGCAGATTTTCCAGGGGGAAGGACATTACAGAGTCCAGATGCCTCTTCCATGATTCCAGCACCTCTAATGTTGTAAGGCCGTGTTATGAGCACCCTAAAGATGGCACTTCAGCACACAGTTCTCGAAATTCTGACCATTCTATCTTCTTTTAAATCCCTCTGTTTTTCCAAATCCTAAAGCCCTGTGACACACCAGCAGCCGGTAAGCGTCTTTCGAGAGAAGGAGCAGGCCAGCAGGGCCCCCACATCTTCTTTCCTCAGCTTCATCCCAGATGCCTGGTACTGTCTCAAGACTGCAGGCACTGAAACGTGACCCCGGTGTCTCAGGCTGAAACAGCAAACTCCCAACCGAGTTTTAAATTCTCAACAATTTGTGGAAATTATGAGATTTTTATGAGCATGTATTTTACAGGACTTCCTAGAATGCCTTTTTGAGAACCCTGGAAGGGGAGGAAGGAAATATCACCCTAGGGGAAGCAGAATTAAATGTGTACTCTCTCCTGTCTCTCTTTTTCTCTCCTTCCTTCCAGCCCATTGAGAAATCTACAAGCCATCCATCGTCTGACCCCGTAAATTTGTCTTTCTGAGGTAATAAGATGACACAGCCTTTGCCAGGTCAGATGCTACTTTCATAAAAAGTGCTGAGTTGGTGACCCAATGCCGTGAATAAGGATATAATCAAATTTCATATTTCTTCCTTGAGCTTCAGCAATGACGCCCACTTTTCATGGATTGTTACTCAGGGAGGACGCATAAATGCCTCTCAGAATCACCTAATTCAATCTTCATAACAACAGTCTAGGTGAGATGGCTTTGTCCCGTTGCAGGCGAGTTCCAAGCACAGAGAACCAAATGGTTTCCACAGAGAACATGTGTAGAAGGGATTGTAACCCACAACTGTCTGAACCCAAGCACTAAGCTTCAAACCAGACTCTGTGCTGCTTCTGCTTTATACACAGGCCCTGGCTGAAAACCCTTGACTTTACCAGGCATGCAAGGAGATGCTAAGTCCACTTTGGCTGCAGGTAAGAATTAAGTAGGACTAACCTGGGTGTTACTAATAAGGAGTTCAACCAGGGCCCAGCAATCAAGGAGGGCTTCGTGGAAGAGGTGGAACTTGGAGTGGCCTGGAAGAATCGCATAGAATCAGCAAAACCATGGAAACGACAATGAGCAGGGAACACACACAGGTCCCACTGTGACAGAATGCACATGGGTGATGAGCAGACATGTCCTCAGATGGGTAGGCAGGACCCTGGAAAACAGGAAATGGAGTCTGTGTTTGACAGCAGAAGCAACGGCAACCACTGTCATCTCATTCATTCATTTAATAATTGTTTATTGAGGGTATCATGTCAGGTGCAGTTCTTAGTGATAGTGACCTAGCAGTGAGTAAGCCAGGCTGAGTCCCTGCCCTCAAAAACCTCAAGATCCAGTAGTGGGCCAGATGGACATTCATGATGTTTAATAGATCAAGTAGAGTTCCCCTTCATTGATATCTATTTCTAAAGATGTCTGTCTTCCCTTCTAACAGATCTCTAAACGACCACGGCCCGAAGTGTCAGTTTCAAATGCTTGTTTCAGCTCTGCCCTCCCCACATCAAATCCCACCTCTCTCACGCTAAAGCATCATAATATATTTGTGCTGAGAGTTGCCTTAGAAATCATTCAGTATTCAGTTCACGGGGGAAGAAACAGAAAGCCCCTAGAGGTGACCTCATTAGCCTACAGTTGCCCTGAGAACTGGTGGCAGAAGCAGATTGGTGTCCAGCCTCCTGATGTACATGCCAGTGCTCTTTCCCCCAAGCCATGTGTCTCCTGGTCACGCCCTTTGTCCTTGCTGTCCTCTACTATTCTCTTCTGGAAGACTCACGATGAGAGAGCCGACTTCTCCAAGCTGCACTCCTAGCTCTCTGGGACCCAGCAGGGACCGCTGCCTTCCAGCCAGCAGTTTGAAGAAGGACAGCTACCATCAAACACAGACTTACAGCCTCCCTGATGCCCTGGATGCCAGGAAATGTCTGGACCAGTCAAGATAAGAGCAAGGCAGAGCCAGGAAGAAATGGGGACAGGAGTTCCTATTTAAATATATAAAGAATCCTTTCCTAGGTAGAGAAAAGTCATCTAGCAATGTGACTGATCACCTCTCCGTTTATCTGTTTGATCAACTGGAATTTCTATACAGAAGGTTTATACAAAGAAGCCACAAACAACCATTGTCACAATGACCCCTACATAATTCCTTGTGTAAATGCTCTGGAAATGCACCCAGAAGTCTGGAGAAGGTCCAATCAAACTGGGTGGCAGGAAGAAGCAAGCTCTGTTCTCAGATCTTCAACAGAATCACCTGGACCCTGGGGTTGCCACCACGCTAAGCCAAGGAGGCCTCTGAATGCACGGGAGTGCAGGGTCTGAAGGGAGTTGTTAAAAGGTGTTTCTTGATCCAGGACCATGTAAAGACCCAGGAGAAATAGGTATCCCAAAGAGAACAGCGTATAAGATTCACAAACCAATGACAAACACGCTGGGTTCGCTGCTGGTCTCCACAGTTGGTTGGTTCTGTAGGGCTCAGCTGCCTCTTTCTCTCTACTTCTGGTTTCAGAAAACACGAGAGAGAAGCCGAGTGCTCATGGAGTTTCCTCAAAGACTCAGCAAAAACTAGGCTTTGTGTTCTGAGATCAGGAAGTAACAGTGAGAGTCCAAAATTTTCTTCCCTGACAATGTCTCCTACTCAAGCAGGGCCTGGAAGTCACCCCCTAGAATCAAAGCCTTGACATATGCAAGCTCATAGTTTATTGCTTCTTCTCCCATCTGCCCGTTGACAGATAAATCCCAGAGGGAATAAAAACACATTGCCCTCAGCAGATTATTCTTCACTGAAGAATACCAGTCTTTTAACACTCCGCTACAGAAATAGCTTTCTGCCGGCTGATGGCTTGTTGCGCTGCACTAAGAGAGCCCGCACACCTCGAAGCTTCGTCAAGCAAAGCCTATGATTTCACAGACCCAGAAATGTTTTCTTTCTCTAAGCCAATAACATATGCTTGGGTTTATGCCAACTCTACCAGAGGCGCACAGATACAATGAGGCATGAAGTTCAGAATAATAGAAAGTAGAGAGTTGGAAAGCACAGGAGAACCCATCTAGACCAACCTGTTTTGTTGAAAAAGGAGCTCCCTGACCCAGAGAGGTTAAGGGTTTGCTGTGAGACGGTGCCCCTGGTTAAAGGCAGCATGAGATGCTGTCCTCTGATCCCCAGCTTCCTAGGGCTCTTGCCTCTAGGTCACACTGCCTTGAGGCCAGGAGCTGATATTGATTGAACAGATGTGAAAACAGAAGAAAAAAAAATTGTGGTGACTGCCCTCTGACAATTTTCCACTTTCTTTGGACCAATTTTCTTTGCCATTATCTGGAAAAAAAAAAAATGTCCAGAAGAGCATTTTAAATTCAGGAAGTGGTTCTGGAACTAGGAGAAGACACACCTTGATGACAGTAATATTGTCTAAGTGAGAAGGAACAAGCTCTTGAATGTTTCTAGAAAAACCAAATATGATAGGAGACCATAAAATTATACTTCGTCATATGGATTTCCAGTTTGAGAAAACTTAGTGGCTAAACAAAGGTGCCGCTTGAGAGATGCAGACAGAAATCAGCCTCTGCTTTAAGAACAAGTTGCTACGCTGAAGAATGAGAAGAGGAATGGGGCCCAGAGGCTGAAGGTCTGGACCAATCTCCCTTCCCAGATAAGCGCCTGGACCCTCGTTCCTCAGAAGCCACGTGTAATTACCAGCTCTTTTTGGCTACAGAGCACATGCCCAGGAGGCTTGGAGAAGCAGGAATTTAAAACATGCTAGTTTCAGAGCCAAGATTGGTGACAACACCATCAGTTACTGTTTGGGCTTCGGGAAGCCGTGGGCTGCAGCACTGGGTCTGGTGTCCTGGGCTGTGTGGGACCTCAGCAAGGTTGTTTCCTGAAATGAAAGCTCCTCTTCTGGGGGATGACACACCAGGACCACCTGCAGATGATGTTTATGAATCCCCCAGCAGGGGTGGATTGATCTTACAATGGGACTGTGTAATATAAACATTTCATTATTCTACAAAAGAATACACACAATACCACCTAAGGGTCTCTAAGAATAGGGTTGGAGAGTGACAATGAGAAAATGCCACTCAAAAAGAAATAGAGCCGCATTCCTTCTACACAACATTAATATTAACTTTACATACAGGGGAAAAAAATGGCATTTTACCTTAAGAGTTATTTGTAAACTCTCTCCACACCATGAGATAAAATCAGTGCAGAGCTCAGAGCTCTGAATTTCCTCATTTGGGGGCTAATAGACTTTAATGGGGGCTCTTCTTGGCATGCAAATGAACGTGTGTGTCTCTGAGTGCATGTGTCTGTGTGTGTACACACGTCCCTTTGAAGTTTATTTACTTGGTAGCACTAATTGTAAAAGGGCACACCCAGGGGAATTTAATGAGGCGACATGCTAGAATATAGACATTAGAAAGGGAATTAATATTTTCCTCATAATAGCAAGTAGGTGAAGTCAAGTATGAGGACAGAAGGAAAGAAAAAGGAAGGCAGGGAAAGAGGGAAGGAGAGGAGAGGAACAGGTTTTGATGATCGTAGATAAGAACCAATAAACACTGTTGCTTCACACTCCCGAGCATAACTTGGCAGAATTTATTTATTGGGAATCAATTGCTTTTAACCTAATACAATCTATTCAGTGCTTATTAGACCTAAAAAAAAAATCGTTTGCTAGAGATGCAATTTGAAAACAACACTGACTTCTAAACCAAATGGATGTTTTCTAAACCAAATGAGGTTTATGTTAATTGAGAGCTGAGTATATTCTAGAAACAGCAGGAAAGCAGACGACAAGCCCTTTGGTTTTGTCTGGACACCTTCCGGAGAGGTGCCTCTAGCAGGTGGGGGTGTGGATTCCAGTGAACTGAAATTACTGTATATTTGGGTATAAACAAACTCCATGTGGCATTGGGACTTATGACCACTGGGACTGCCTGTGGGAACATGCACAAGCTCAGATACTACAACCTGCGTTCCTGAGGTAGCCATAACATAACTACTTTAGGTGATTACACATCTACAAATGAAAATAAACTGTGAACAAGGCCTCATTCACACTGCATCAAAGCCTCCAGAACGTCCTTCAGAACAGAAACAGCAAGGCGAGGAAAGCCTCCAACATTGGGAAATCTCTCTACACAGACCTGTCCTTGCCTGCATCTTCTGCCAATGACCTCACACCTAGATCGTGATGGTCTTAGCCCTAGTCCATTAGCAGAAGGGAAGGATGGCTGGCAAAGAATGCTGCACAGAGAGGAGTTCCGTGTGAAATCATTGGCTCCAGGGGCTCAATCCCTGGTTGCCTGACCTTGAATTGTTCTCTTAACCTCTCTGACCTTCCATATTTTCATCTCTTAATAGTAATAGTTGCCCAGCCCATGCCAGCAAAGAAGGCATGAGGCAAACAAGGTAATTGTGTAGGCATGCTTTCTGAAATGCAAAATCCTGCAATACATTGTCATCGTAGTCTTTGGTTCTTTGAAGTCATCGTTATCTTTGGAAAAGGGAAAATTGAGACCTGTGGTTCATCAATTCAAACCTAGGGTTTCATGCACTCCTTGACATTCTGTTCCACTCAAGGTGGAAGATGAATTCTCACTCTGATGAAGAACTAAGCCATGGGGTCTTTGCCTGCAGAGAGAAGCTACCAGTGCCACAGACACAGGCCTCCACGGCGGTTCTCCCTGCAAAAGGCCACCGTTTGTGTCATCTTGATCATGGCCAGGGCAACATCTTCTTTGGCAAATAGTCTAGGAAGTGAGCCACGGGATTCATTCTGCATTCAAGTCACTGAAATTCCAGCTGAAATAAATGTTCAGCTGGAACATTTTTTTTGGAACATTTTTGTGGAAGAAAACAGTATCCCTCGTTTCTTATGTATCTGTTTAGTAAGAGTTTAAATAGCTGCTGACTCATACCAATTAATCACACTTGAAAAAAAAACCTAATCATTTTAACAAACAAAACTCAGACCTGTATTTAATTGCCATAAAATGGAATGAAACTAAACCAGGTGGATTTAAACAAATGTATGCCTAGAGCACCTATAACGGCCAGGACCCTCTGCTAAGTGGTTCTAAGAACACAGACGTGAAGAAGATACAGTCCCTAAAACACAATGCCAAAAATTTGGATTTGGATGAAAGCAACCAGCATAAGATTCAAACTCTTAGTTTGCCTAAAATCCTAATGTCTTTGAGCCGACAGATATCCTGAGGTTCTTTTCTAAGTCATTTGTTGGCAGATCTCTTCTGTAGTAATCGTACTTAGACCACCGTGCTTCCATGGGCCTCTGTGATCGGACTTAGGTAATCTTACGTTTCTTAGGAACTTGTTCACCTTTGAAATCACTTGAAACAGGAAATTCTCTGCTGTAGCTGCACCAGATGCCCAAGGTTCAGATTAAGCTAATTTCCCTTCTCAACCCTAAGGGGATGTTTTGAAGCTCACCATTCATACCTTCGGAAGATGATTTTCCTAGTCTGTTTGGGCTGTTGTTTATAAGCATTTGTGGCTTATAAACAACAGAAATGTATTGTTCACTGTCCTGCAACTCTAGAGCCTGGGAAGTCCAAGATCAAGGTATCTGCAGATATGGTGTCTGGTGAGGTTCCCTGCTTCATAGATGGCAGCTTCTAGTGGCGTCCTCGTGTGGCAGGAGGGGCCAGGGGTCTCTCTAGGGCTCTTTTATGAGGGCACTAATCCCATCCATGAGGGCTCCACCCCTATGACCTCCTCACCTCCTGAAGGTCCCATCTCCTAATACCATCGCCCTGGAAGTGAGAATTTCAACTTATGAATTTTGAAGAGACACAAACATTCAGACAGTAGCAATGACTGAATAATTACCCGCCACGTTTCCTCATTCATTCATTTATTCATCAAAATTGCTCTCAGTGCTGCTTCTCTGCACCAGGGGCTGTGGCCCAGAGGCTCTGGGCACATGAGAGTAGGGGAGACCTGATCCTTCCCCTTCAGAAGTCAGTAATGATAGCAAAGGAAAGTAAACACGCAGATACCTGCAGAGGGGGCAGCATTGGAGAAGAGGGAGCCACCGCCCATCCCCTAGGCTGCTGGGGGATGGGGATGGATGACAAGGAAGGCTTCTCATTTTAGAGGAGCCCAGAAGAATAAGCATCCTGTGCTCGTTCCTGCATCCTTTCTGATTGGCCTGTTCTTCACCCCGAATCTCAATTTCCTCCTCCCATTCTCCACTTGATGCAAGGTTCAGTGTGCTGAACCTTGCTGACTCTGCCACACTCGCCTGCTAACCATCCTGTAGACACCTGCATCCTCTGCTCCCAGTATGTCCCATGGGCCAGCACAGGCCCCATCTCATCTTCCTCAGCAGGATTTCCAGCCATGTTGCCAGTTGTGGGAAACCCTAATGAATTGGGAGGTGGGTTGGAGGTGAGGGCTCCCTCCTTCTCACCTGGTGGCTGGATCAGGATGAAGGGCATTTACCGGAGCACAATGCTGGCAGTCCCTTGGTGTTTCATTGTGGGGTGGCATCTCGTGCACAGCTTGCCCTCCTCCCCATTCCTCACATTGCCGTCTCCTGCTTCAATCCAGCAGGCTGCTTAGATGGGTCCTGGCAGCTCAGGGAGATATTTGCTCTGCTCCTCCTTTCCTTTGGGGTGGTTTTCTTCAACTCGCCTCTCCTGTTGAAGTTCTAGGGCCTGGGGCCTGAGACTCTTGTGGGGCCAAGGCAGTCCACAGCCTGTTTGTGTTCCCCACCTTCGAGCCTCCCTCTCTAGAGAAAGAGGCCAATGGCACTGTGTGGTCCAGTCTACCTACCTGGAGATGACCGTGTTCCATGTGTGAACTGACACGGCGCTTTGGTCGGCATCTTTGCCTCAGGAAACTGGGAGGATGCCACGTGGCTGGTGAACACCCTGGAGATCAGGCGTCTGGATCTGGCTGAGCAACACAGCTGTGGCACAGCAGAGCTGTCAGGGTCTCCGCCTCCTCTGCACCCAACACCTTCAACATCTATCCCCAAATCTCACTGTGTTCCTTCCTGCTTTGGGGTGTGATTTTGTGATTTTGATAGACCATCAGCTCCCCGAGGACAGGAATCATGTCACCTAGAGATTTGTGACCTTCATCACACTCAGCTCAGCATAGAGCCTTGGGAGGTGCTCTGGGAAAGCATTTGCTGGTGGGCTGGCCATCCTCACCAGCCTGGTGGGGACCCGAAGGCCACACCTGACCTGACACCCACTGCTCTATGCTTCTGTGACACATGCCAATTTGTGCAATCTCATCTCGTGACCAAGCGCAGCTCAAATACATGCACCAAAGCAGGGACTTGCACACTTGTTTTACTATGATCCACGGTGAGAAATACGTTGACATGACCTCCCATCACTCACATATGTAACGGAAACAAGGGCATCGTAGATGAACCTTATGCTATGGGATGTGCATTTTCTGTTTTTTTGTTTTGTGTTCTAGTCTACTCTGATCTTTCTGTTCTAATCTGTCTAGTCCGTCTTTCCTATTTTATTTCTTAAATGCCAGCAGTGTATTCGCTAAATTGATGCCACAACCCACCAATGATTGCAAAACTTTGTTCTGCAAAGTTTCCTGACATCTTGGAGCTCTGTGGGGGAAATCCTGGGTTGCAAAAACAAATAAGGGTGCAGTCCTAGCCCCCAGGAAGCTCACTTGGGAGTCAGGTGGGGGTGGGGAAGCAATCACATTAAAAATCATAACATATTTTCTCATTAGCATTTTCAAAATTAATACGCATTATGCAAGCAATGTGTCTTTTATTCCTAGAAAAGCTGTTACTAAATCAATGGTGTGTGTTACCATGAACAGTATCTCAGAAATGAGGACACGCAGTGTGGTGCCGTGCTCTAAGGATGGCAGTCTTCATCTAACTAGCTTGCCTAGGGCTCCCACTCTGAATGCCCCAGGTGGGCCACTCAGCTCATCTCAGGACAAGTCACCTGTGCCTCCCAGATGGCTAGAGGGTGACTCCCTCTACCAATCACCATTTACAGGAATCTTCAAGGAGAACTTCAATTTGGACTCCTGCCAAGTGAGCACTACCAAAGACCTTGATGCCAATATTACTCCACCAGGCCAAGGTGAACAAACTTTTACTGGAAAGGTCCAGACAACAAATACTTAGACTCTGCAGGTCATATGGTCTGAATCACAAATGCTGAATTCTGTTCTTGGGGCACGAATACACAAAGAACGAGTGTGGCTGTGTTCCCATAAAACTTCATCTGTGGACATTGAAACTGGAATTTCATATCATTTTCACATGTCATAAAATATTTATTCTTCTTTTGATTTTCTTTTCAATATTTAAGAATGTAAAAACCATGCTTAGCTCACAGGCCATACAAAAACAGGCTGGAGCTGGATTTGGCTTCAGGAACCGTAGCCTACTTAGCTCTGTTCCAAGCCAATCAGACCTTCCAGGATGGAAAATATTTCATATCCACCAGGAGCTGAGATGTGCCACCTTCAGCCGCATTAGACTCTGGAACACAGACAAACAGAAGAAGCCATCCGGTAGTTTTCTCTTGATGTATATACCACAGAAAAGTCATGTGGTGAATACAGTGTTGATGAAGAGGTTTTCGCCTGGGGCAAAACCATCTTAAAACTACTATAGTTTTCTAAAAGAGAAGGAGAAGTTACAGATGGAAGGGCTGGCACTAGTGCTTGTGGGCACAACTCCTTTCGGGATAAAAGAAATAAATCCACCTTTTAAAGCAATCAGGCAGGCTCAGCCCATCATGTGGATTTTTAATATTGCGTGTCTTTCCAGGATAAACTGTCACCTTGTTTCACATTGTATTAATCCAGTCTTAGCTATGATGGAAAATGTTCATAAGCCAGGGGGCAGCAAGTGCAATGAAGTGTTTCATTAGCCAGATGGGTCCTGATTAACCTCCAATGTCCAATGAGCAGCTGCACAGACCAGGCTCATTACTGTGTGGCTGGTGTACCAGAGTGTGGCGCTGGCCAGGCACGGTGGCTAACAACTAAAATCCCAGCACTTTAGGAGGCCAAGGTGGGAGGATCACTTGAGGCCAGGAGTTCAAGACCAGCCTGGGCAACATAGTGAGATCTTGTCACTACAAAAAAATTTTTTTTAAATTTAAACTTGGCCAGGCATGGTGGTGCATGCCTGTAGTTCCAGCTACTTGGGAGGCTGAAGTGGGAGGGTCGTTTGAGCCCAGGAGTTTCAGGTTGTAGTGAGCCATGATCATGCCACTGCACTCCAGCCTGGCTGACAAAGTGTCTAAAAAAAATGTGGTGCTAAGTACTTGGGCAGACCTAGGTGATGTTCTCCACCCTCGTACTGGGACCTACATCTGTACCATTTCTTAAGGCGTTAAAGAGTGCAGGACGCAACCAGACAACTTGGTCAGCCCTCCATCACACCTGCTCTCTGTTCTTTTATTTACCACATTCATACATGCTCATTTTTAAAAGTCAATCCAGAAATGTCCATGCTAAATAAACAAAAGACGCTGCCCTGCCCCTTCCTCAACCAATTTCATTCCCCTCCCTCACAAAAAATTACTGCGGGCAGCTTGGCATGCCCTGTGTAAACACACACCCACACGCACAGACACCATGTATGTGTCTGTGCCATTGTCATGTGTTTTGAGCTGTTTCCCAGCACTCTGTGTGGTGACCTAATGAGGCTCTCCATCCTCGTCGGCGCACATGGAACCCCCTCGTTCTCACTGAACAGCCTCAGGCTCCTTCACACGCTGCGTCTTCTTTACAGCCTGCCAGTTAAACCCAATGTTTTTACCTTGGAAAATGTCACGGGCTGTTCTCCAGAAGCAGCAGTGAGCTGGTTCATTGACGTTTGGTGACTTGTTCAGTTGTGCTCCTCACATTCCATTACTGCCACACCTACAGACACGTTGGTGTTTCACAAAAAGGCAAATTCCAAAAGGCGACTGGGAGGAGCTTGCTAGCCGAGGCTCTTCTGCAGAGTGTTTTTTGGTCTTAATGCTTCTGAAATGCATTTTAAAATAAGCCAAACTGGTCATGTGGCACCTGTGATATTATCTAGAAAAGTGTGACTTGAGGGAATTTCTCCAGAATCAAAGATGTCTGAACGTGTCTGCATGAACAGAACCCAGGACGCTCCTTACTAAGCAGGCTCTGCAGAACAAACGCAAGCCAGGAGGAAAAGAGGAAAACGTAGGTTGGTGACATGGTTTGGAATGGGGAAGTTCGTGTGTGTGTGTGTGTGTGTGTGTGTGTGTGTATAATTTCGTTGAGGTATAATTCATATACCACAGAATTTCCTTTTAAATATACAACTGGCTCATTTGCAGTAAGTTTTTAGAGTTGTGCACCAGCATCACAAGCTCATTTCACAACATTTCCATCACCCCAAAAGAAGCCTCCTGCCATGAGCAGACACTGCCCACTCCCACTCCGAGCACAACCACCACCACCCATCTACTTTCTTCTGTACATATTTGCCTTTTCTGGAAATTACATAACGTGGAATCGTGCAATATGTGGTATTTTGAAGCTGGTTTCTTTCACTTAGCATCATATATGTTAACTATTTTTTTTTTTTTTTTGAGACAGAATCTCACTTTGTTGCCTAGGCTGGAGTGCAGTGGTGCCATCATAGCTCACTGTGGCCTCAATCTCCCAACCTCAAGCCATCCTTCTACCTCATTCTCTCAAGTAGCTGGGACTACAGACAAGTGCCACCATGCCTGGCTGATTTATTCTTATTATGATCATTAATTATTTGTTTATTTTTAGTAGAGACAAGGTCTTGCTGTGTTGCGCAGGCTGGGCTCGAACTCCTGAGTTCAAGCGATCCTCCCACCTCAGCCTCCCAAAGTGCTGGGATTACAGGCGTGAGCCACGGCACCCAACAGCACTTCATTCCTTTCTGTGGCTGAGCATTCTTCCATTGTGTAGATATAGCATATTTTGTTGATCCAGTTGCTGGTTGATGGACATTTGGGTTGTTTCCATGCTTTCGTTATTACAAATAATATTGCTATGCACCTTTGTGTACAGGTCTTTGTGTAGACATATGTGTCACATATTTTCATTTCTCTTGTGTAGATAGATACTTAAGAGTGGAATTGCTGGGTCATATGGTAAATCTATGTTTAACATTTTAAGAAACTGCCAAACTGCTTTCTAAATTGGCTCCACCATTGAAAGTATGTAAATTTGCTACTAGCTTACAAAATACTTAATTGAGGCATAATTGACAAACACAGAGTTGGACATATTTAATGTGCGCAATTTGATGAGTTTGGAGATACACATGCAGCCATGAAGCCATCACTGCAGTAAATGCCGTAAATATATCCATCACCTCCACAAGCTTCCTCTTGCCCTATTCACTGATTTTGATAAGAATACTTGGCATCTACACTCTTGGGAAGTAGTTAAGTATATAAGGCAGGATTGTTACTATAGGCGCCATGCTGTACCCTAGATCTCCAGCACTTACTCATCCTGCAGAACTGACACTTTGAACCTTTTGACCAATACCTCCCCCTCTCCTCCTGTCCCCAGCACCTGGTTACCATGATTCTACTGTCTGCTTCTATGAGTTATACCTGACACTAAGACTCTTAGGAAAAAAAAAAAAAAAAAGACAGAGAAAAAGCTTCCTGACTTTGGCCTTGGCAATAATTTTCTAAGTATGACCACGAAAGCACAGGCAACAAAAGCAAAGATAGGCAAATTGGATTTCATCAAACTATAAAGGCTCTGTACAGCAAAGGAAACAACCAACGAAAGGAAAATGCAACCTACAGAATGGGAGAAGATATTTGAAAATCATATATTTGATAGAAGATTAATATTCATAGTATCTGAGGAACTTTTACAACTCAATAGCAGAAAAACAAAATAACCAGATTGAAAACCGGGCAAAGAAATGGAATACGCATTTCTCCAAAGAAGACATACAAATGGCCAGCATGTATATGAAACAGTTGATATCACACTCATCATCAGGGAAATACAAATCAGAACTCAGAACCATGATGAAATTTATTTCACATCCCTTAGAGTGACTATTTCATATGTGTGCGTGTGTTTATGTGGGTGCGTATATATAGGTGTGTGTGTATATATATATATACACATAGATACATATATATAAGTAAAAAAATGTTGGCGAAGATGTGGAGAAATTGGAACTCTTGTACACTGTTGGTAGGAATGGAAAATGGTACAAGCATTATGGAAAACAGCATGGAGTTTCCTCAAAAAATTAAAAATAGAACTGCCATGTGACCCAGCAATCCCACTACTGGGTATATATGCAAAGGAATTGAAATCAGCATGTTGAAGAGATACCTTCTCTCCTGTGTTTATCGCAGCGTTATTCACAACAGCCAAGATATGGAATCATGTCTTTTGATGGATGAATGGATAAAGAAAATGTAGTATTTAAATATAATGGAATATTATCTAGTTTTAAAAAAAGAAGAAGAATCTGCCATTTGTGACAACA
Source organism: Homo sapiens (assembly GCF_000001405.40). NCBI lineage: Eukaryota > Metazoa > Chordata > Mammalia > Primates > Hominidae > Homo > Homo sapiens. Next base: position 1,113,867 of record NC_000006.12, read on the forward strand.
CCAATGATCCTAGAAGACATTATGCTAAGTGAAATAGGGCAGACACAGAAGAACAAATACTACAGGTTCTCGCTTATATGAAAAAGACATTTGCTTTTCAAAAAAGATCTTGAGATTGTTATTTAATAGCCCAAGAGTAACTTAAGATTAATCATTGCAACTTGGCCCCGTTCTGGGGAAAAGGCATTTATTTGAAGTTATTGTGTAGATAACCAATGTCATTTGATGGTTTTGAGTGATTTATAATCCTGGGGATTTCCGTTCTCCTCTGATTTGAAACAACAAGCATATTCAGGAGACTTTGCCCCATTCTGACTGTTTCTATCACAGCTATGGTGCCTGGGTATTCTACCTTTCCAACACCAGCCTCTCGCTGCGTGTGTGAGAGAAAGAGATCAAAGCAGGAACAACAAAATCCAGATGCAAATTTACTACATAAATAAATGCTTTAATAGTCTGAAAATGTTTGTGACCTTTTATTTTTTAAAACATCTGCTCCTGCATTAGTCATGCTCTCTTCCAGTAATAATTAGCGAGTGTATTTATATATATCACTCAGGGCGAGTTCTTGTGATTTTTATGTGTCTAGTAGGGCTTTCCATCACAGCCCAGGAAGAAGGCCCCTTGAGAAGTTCTCCCTCTGGTCCACCAGCACCCCTTTCTCCTTTCCCAAACTCTCCCTTTCACCTGGCTCCTCCCAACCCTATGAACAGCTGAATCGCGTTTTCCTGCCACCCTCCTGAACACTGTCTTTCTGAGAGTGTTTTGAGAGTCTCTGATCACTCTCTTACTCTACTTTTTTGTTTAAAAAGCTACTTCTACTCTATCACTGAATGAACAAGGCTGTTGGTTTGCCTCCAGCAACCAGCAACCGTTTACGCTTCCTACACCCTAACCCTAACACTAACCCTAACCCTAACCCTAACCTTGAGCTGGGTGCAGGGGGCTTCTTTTCCTCTCTGTCTCTGGACATCTCTGGTGTACTTTTTCAGAAAGTCTTTTCTGACTCAGAGTAAAGTGATGTGGCCAGACACCAAGACCCAATCCGACCAGGACTTTCATCTTTCATAGGCCTCAAAGTAATGGAAAAGAGCTGTTTAAACTCAGGAGATTTCCTCCTGGCGTGAAAGTCGGTGACATGTTCCTTCCTTTTTCTTCCTCTCTTGCCCCCAGCTGCAGTAATGTCCTTCCTTTCCCACCTCCACCAGTGTCTTCTTCCTTGTTCCCACCCCTACAGTTCCTGGTATGGAGTAAAAACGGTAATATTCCTGCTGGGCAGACATCCTGTGTGCAATCCCAACCACAGCTCACAAGGTGAGTTCTCTGAGGGAGCGAGGCAGGTATATCAGAAAGGGATTTATAGATAACTTAGATGAATCCCTTTTATCCCTGGGAGCAAAAAGAGCTGCCTAGGGCTGTGAGAAGTGATGGCTTCACTGTCTCTCTAACAAGTTCCCCCAGCATCAAGAGTCATTTTCTAATTCCCCTCTTTCAGTGTGGTTGGCCCTGTGGTGACTACCTGTCGTGGCTTAGAACTCTAAGGCATAGTTCCTTAAATATTTGATGCCTCTCATCTGCTGGAGGAGAGGTACTAGAATTAGCCCCGCCCTTGAGGTCATCCAGTTCTTTTGTTCTCCCAGTATTGGTATAGTGTATGTAAATTTCTTTACTCTTGGAATAGGCCGATTTCAAAAGGAAGTCTCTAGTTGGCAAAGTGGCATATTTCTAGTGAATTTGGACTTTTCCTTGTGTCTCACAAGATATCCACCCTTCAGAAGTGGGATCCCTGGACTTTTAACCTAGCTATCCTATTTGCAGGTTGGCCCCATCACCCCAAGCATCTCCTTCTCTGTATCCCCATCGGAAATATCATATCTTTCCCAAAAGGGATGGAGAAGAACATCTTTTCTTGTGGAAATATGTCTCCCTCCTTGAATCTTTTTCCTGCCACACCCCATCAATGCCCCACAGCTGAGATGCAAATGTTAACTAGTCCTAGGCCCCAGCCACGTAGGAAGTGAACTCTCTAGGTTTAACCTCTCCTCCCATACCAATGGGTAGCATCAGATCTAGTCCAGTGAAGAGGAGGGTAGGTCCTTCAAACCAAGGTCTTTTCCAATATCTCTTAGTTTATGTTTTGGCTGAAACCCAACTAAATTTAAACTAAAACATCAACATCAAAAGATATTACGTTGCTTAGCCATGTCGCAAGCTCAACTTTAAAAAGAAGAATGTCTTTCTGTCAAACAGAGTGGTTTTGAGTCATTGTGGTCCAAACCCATGAAAAGACAAATCTCTCCATTATGATGGCAGCCACTCTATTCATGGAGTCCAGAGATCCCCAGTATTGCACAGAGGCACAAATGAGCATCTCCCTGCTTCACCCAGAGCCTGGGAACATGAAGGATCAGCCCTTGATCAGATGATTTTAAGCTGCTGCTTCTTTTCATTAGGAGATGCTGGTTTGGAGACAAGTATGCTCTCATCCTGGACTCGCCAGCCTGGACCACAGTCTAGTCATGGGCTGCTGCTTGGACCAATCAGGGTGCCAAGTCCCAGGCGGGGGCTGGGAGAGGAAGGTGCTGGGCATCAGTGTGGTGTCTGTACCAACAAGGAGGAAGGAGAAAGTAAAGATGAAGACAATACCAAGAGGCAATAGTGTGCAGAGAGGAAAGCGTCCTGAGTCTGGCCACCATTTGTAGAAGTGACACATGAAAGTCAGACATTCCATAGTCAGAATCTTTCCACATTTGATAAAAGAGTGTGAATATGTTAGTCCATCATCCAAATGATTTATAGTATGTAATGCCAGCCCTCACTTATATGAAGGAATTCAACCAATGAGCTCAGACTCATACAAAGAGCAATGTGTGAACTCTAGTCATTGCTAGAGTACTCAGCTGAACCTCAAAACTTGAGTATTAGTCCCCTTGGAATCTCATGTTAAAACTGAATCCCCATTGTAGTGATATTAAGTGGGTAAAAATCCAACTATATCTGGTATTTGAGAGGTGAGACTTTTGGGAGGTAATCAGGATTAGATAAGATCATGAGGGTGAGGCGTTAGTGGTTTAAAAGAGAAAAAAGAGAGACCGGAGCTGGCATGCTCAGCCCCCTATGAGGTAATGCCCTGTGCCACCTAGGGATGGTGCAGTGAGTCCCCACCACAAGAAGACCCTCACCAGATGCAGCTTCTTGACCTTGGACTTTCCAGCCTCCAGAACTGTAAGATATAAATTCTTTTTTAAAATTAATTACCCAGTCTCAGGTGTTCAGTTATAGCAAGAGAAAAAGGACTAAGACCTCCTCTCTCCAGAAAAATTTACATCCAAGCACACATTTTTACAAGCAATTTTGAGTGACTTCACAGATCATAAAGCCATATGAAGAACTCTATCTTAGAATCATGCTGCACAACCTTTTTAGAAAATAATCCACATTTGGGAAATGTAAAAATCTCATATGCTCTTAATGTTAATTGCAAAACAGACCAAATAGTGTAGCTTAAAAAAAAAAAGAGCAAAGTGGTGAGATGGAGACAAAGCTTTTCCTAACTAAGAGGCCCACTTTCAATTCTTGGAAATGACTGCCCTACAGATGCATGGAATAGCAGGCAGGGGAAAGGCTAAGCCCCAGCAATAGGAGTAATTAATATCACATAGCATTTGTGGGTTATTTCATTCTTGACATATGATCAGCTTTGATTCTTTCACAGTCCATAAGAGAGGTAGTATACATTTCATATTTAACTTGCCATGGTCACATGGCTAATAGATTTGAACCTGTGTCTTCTGTCTTTCAATCTTATGTTCAGCCTACTTTTTTTCTCCTGGTATACCTTATCTTGTTGAATCTATCAAAGTTTGCGATACCAAAGTGAACAAAGTTCACATACAGCTAGAAGTTCATTCTGTCTCTGGAAAGAGACCTAGTAGGATGAGGAAGTTTGAGTGGTCCAATTGTCAATAAAATATGAGTCTATCAACTTTTTCCAAAAGAGCACTTTAAATCATTTTGTCATTTTCTACAAACAAAATAAGAAATGTTGATTATAGAAACTGTAACAATTGTAATTGTTACAATAATCAATTATTAATAGAACTGGAATTTTAAATGAGAGTATGAAATAGTCATTTCCCCACTTTGGAACCTGGTGCATCTCTGTTGGAACATTGGGCCACTACCCTTTTCCAATCCAAGGACATGGCACTACATAGAGTGAGGGGCTACGTCCAAGCCAGGAGAGAAGGCAAAACGGGTGCAGGGAGGGAAGGCAGCGAGCGACTGCCTCTAAGCAAGGAAGTGGAGAGAATGGCCATGCTGTTGCTCCGAGATCCCAGAATCCTGCTATTATTACCAACCTATCAATTGGCTTTTCTGAATATCTGAGTCCAAGTAGATATTTTTAGATTTCTACTCTCTTGCTGTTTCAGTGATAAAATCATGAAAAAAACAACAGAGTAGAAACTCAAAAGTGCATTTTTTTTTTGTTACAGAGTGGGTTTTCGAATGGACAGGATGTTCTACACTGCTTACCCTGCAGTGTGACCTTTGCCTTCTTGACATCTCTCTCTGCAGCTGAGTAGAGGAAAGATAACTAAATAAACCTCCCACCTGCCCCTGTCATTCATCCAGATAAAAAAAGCATAATGAAAGGTTTTTGTTTTATTCTGAGGATATGGAGGGCACAATTTTTCCCTTGATAACATCAGACTTGAACAACTGCTTTCTCTTCCCAGTTTCACAGCCACTAAAATTCCCGCATCTAGAATTGTGTTGTTGACCTCTTGTGCAAAAGGATGCTTCAGAGGGCATGGGGGACATTTTACACATAACCTACTGCTAATGAGCAGGGCTTTGTGCCAGACAAGTAGCTATTGCAGTTATTACATTGTATTAGTTAGGTAAAATGCAATAATAATGCTGTAACATGATCTCCCACATAAGACACAGTTTTTTCTCTTAATGCTGTGGCTTGAATGTGTCCCCCAAAGTTCATCTGTGGGAAATTTGATCCCCCGTATGGCCGTGTTGGGAGGTAAGATCTAATTGGAGATGTTTGTGTCAAGGGGGCACTGTTCTCATGCATGGATTGACGCCATTATCATGGGAATAGGTTTGTTATTGCAGGAGTGGGTTCCTTATGAAAGGATGAGTTTGGCTCTTTTGTCTCTCTCTTGCCCTCTCTCGCCCTTCCACCTTCTGCCATGAGATGATGTAAACAAGAAGGCCCCTCAATCTTGAACTTCCCAGCCCCCAGAAGCATGAGCCAAATAAGTTCCTTTTATTGTAAATTACCCAGTCAGTGCTATTCAACAGACTAAGACAGTTAGGTAGCAAGACAGTGATGAATGGTCCAAGGTGAGAGAGTCTTGACAGCACCTGGCTTACAAGTTTCTCCAACTAACAGGAGAAAAACAGAGAAGAGACATCGAATGTATCTTCATTTCTACTCACCTCCCATTGGATCAAACTTAACCCCCGGTCACAAAGAGCTGCAAGGTAGACAAGAAAATGTGGTCTGCAGATGGGTGATCATGTTTCCAACAGCTAGAGGGGTTCCAGAAGGCACCATGGGAGAGTGGATACTGGAGAACAGTAAGCCACCTCTGTCACATGGGCTATCTACAGCTGGCTGGCTCGGCTGGAGATCAGCACATAATAAGGCTACACTCAGGAGTCATTTGAACTGTCAGCCAGGTATGCTAGTTAATTTTACTCTATTCTGTGTTGGCACGTTGCCCTGCTACCTCATACCAATTTCTCCCGCCTAAGTCAACCCCAGTTATCACTTATGGCTTCCTTAATGAATCTACCTGTAAATTCATAAATTAGTTCACACTTCAAGCAGTTGAACTTGTGTGCTGCCCATACAGTTTTCAGGTAATTGCCTTCTGCCTAGAGCATCAATTGTTAGTAATTTCTTGGTAATCTGTACTGACTATCATTTGCCCCTTTTATGTCCTATTTGTTATCACCCAAAGTTATCCATTGGTGAATCAGAACAAAGAAGGAGGCACCCCTTGGACACCATGCTTCACCCTCTGGAGTCTCCAGCTTCTAGTACCTGTCCTACTTGCCCTGTGTAGTGTAGCCTTGGTTGGGCCATTGTGTCCTGTCCCTGTGACCTGAATTTTCCCCTCCAGTTCTTCTGGTGAAATGGGTAAGAAGGAAGCGATGAGCCAGAAGCATCCATTACCTCTGTCAGGAGCTCTCAAAGCACCGTTCCTTCTGACAAGCACGTAGCTGCTGGAGTTGGATACACAACTGAAGAGAAGCTTGGAGAGCTCAAAGATCTTTGGGTATATATTTAATTGATCTGCATTACTATATTGATCCTATGAATTAAAGTTTACGTTTTTTATTTTTCATTCACAAAAGCACTAGGAAACTGAGACAAAATTATTTTTCCAAGATTTCACTGTTGTGGAGCCAAAACCAGTGCTACTATTCATAATATCAACTTATAACCTAAGAACCCTACTTCTAGGCGTCCATGCTAAAGAAATAATCACATATGTAAACAAAGAGCTATGCACAGAGCCGTTCATCCAGCATTGTTTATTATAGCAAAACATTGGAAACTACCTAACTGTCCAACAAAAGGACAAGCATTAAGAACATTGCTTCTCAGATTTTAGTCACCTACAATTTTTCTACATTTACTTAACACTCTTTTTTAAATCTGCTTTAAACAAATTGACTCTTTTTCATTTAGCCTCATTCTAAGCAATAATGTC